>NC_000012.12:73975279-74126794 GCF_000001405.40 Homo sapiens | reverse complement strand
CCATCCCATTACTGGGTATATACCCAAAGGATTATAAATCATGCTTCTATAAAGACACATGCACACGTATGTTTATTGAGGCACTATTCACAGTAGCAAAGACTTGGAACCAACCCAAATGTCCAACAATGATAGACTGGATTAAGAAAATGTGGCACATATACACCATGGAAGACTATGCAGCCATAAAAAATGATGAGTTCATGTCCTTTGTAGGGCCATGGATGAAACTGGAAACCATCATTCTCAGCAAACTATCGCAAGGACAAAAAACCAAACACTGCAGGTTCTCACTCATAGGTGGGAATTGAACAATGAGAACACATGGACACAGGAAGGGGAACATCACACACCGGGGCCTGTTGTGGGGTGGGGGCAGGGGGGAGAGATAGCATTAGGAGATATACCTAATGTTAAATGACAAGTTAATGGGTGCAGCACACAAACATGGCACATGTATACATATGTAACTAACCTGCATGTTGTGGACATGTACCCTAAAGCTTAAAGTATAATAAAAAAAAAAGCAAACTCAAAAAAAAAAAAGAATTAAACCCTTCTGCACCATTTCAATAAAACTTTACATTGATCTTTGAAAAAATAAAATCCTTCAATCCAATCAAGTTGACAATATTAATCATCACATGATCCGGAATTTTGGCTGTTGCTCTGAGGCTTTGACCTTCTCTTATTGCTGTGCTGTTTTTCTTTTCTCTGAGATATTTATTTTGGCGTTGAGGTTTGCTATGTTGTATATGCTTCATTGTGTATTGATGGAAAGGAGTGGTAAATTTCTGCATCAATCACAAAGCTACATTTAGCAAATGCCTATATGTTTACTTTTTAAGAAAGACTTCTTTGGAGCAGTTTAAGGTTCACAGAGTGTGTTTTTTGCTGCTGTTAGATGAAGTACTCTATAGATGTCAATTATATACAGTTAATTGATAATGTTGAATTCAACTATGTCTGTACTGATTTTCTGTTTGCTGGATCTATTTCTGATAGAATGGTGTTGAAGTCTCTAACTATGATCATAGTTTTTTTTTTTTTTGGGAGGGTGGTGGGGGAAGAGTCTTGTTCTGTTGCCCAGGCTGGAATGCAGTGGCGCAATATTGGCTCACTGCAACTTTCGCCTCCTGGGTTCAAGCGATTCTCGTGCCTCAGCCTCCCGAGTAGCTGGGATTACAGGCAGCTGCCACCATGCCTGGCTAGATTTGTATTTTCAGTAGAGATGGGGTTTCACCACATTGGCCAGGCTGGTCTCGAACTCCTGACCTCGGGTGATCTGCCCACCTCAGCTTCCCAAAGTGCTTGGATTACAGGCGTGAGCCACCGCGACTGGCCGATAGTAGATTTTTTTTTTAATTTATTTTTTCTTATAGTTCTATCATTGTTGGGCCTCATATAGTTTGATGCTCTCTTGTTAGCACACACACATTAAGGACTGTTATGTCTTTTTGGAGAATAGATCCCTTTATTATTATGTAATGGCCTTTTAAAAAATCCCTGGTAACTCCCTTTGTTTGAAGTCTGTTCTGTCTGAAATTAATATAACTACTACTTTCTTTTGATTAGTGTTAGCACGATGTATCTTTCTCCTTCCCTTTACTTTTAATATATATGTGTTTTATATTTAAAGTGGGTTTCTTGTAGGTAACATGGAGTTGAATCCTATTTTAAATCCACTCTGACAATCTCTGTTGTTTATTGGTGTATTTATGCTATTGATGTGTAAAGTGATTATTGATGTAGTTGGATTAATATCTACCAACAAAAAAAGTATAGTTATGTTCCTAGTTTTGTCTTCTACTCTTTTTTCTGTCCTTTACGCTTTTAATTGAGCATCTCATATGATTTTATTTTTTCTGTTTTCTCAGGATATAGGTTATACTTTTTAAAAAACTTTTTCAGTGGTTCCCTAGAATTTGCAATATGCATTTACAGCTAATGCAAATCTACTTTCAAATGACACTATGCAATTTTACAGGTAGTACAAGTACTTTACAATAACAAAATAATCCTAATCCTTCTCTCCTACCTTGGTACTATCTCCCATGGAAGTTTCTACCCATGAGTTTCTGTTCTAAGAAGTGTAATTCTCTGTAATTCTGAGGGCAGCAGTTTGCCCAGTGACCTCACTTCTCTGTTGGACCTAAGAGGTGTTGGTTTTCCAGTTTATTCAGCCTTCTACTTGTTATAATGAAGTGATGACTTCCAAGCAACTCACATGCCAGACCAGAAATAGAAGTCCTATATGTTTAATTTTAAAAGTCTGCAAGAATTTTTATTTTTATTCTTTTATTCTCCACATACATATTGTACATTGATTGTGTGCCAGGCACTATGTTACGTATGATGATGGAAGACAAAATGTTTGTAACTAGCTTCAAGGAATACGGTTATTTTCTACATAAATATGTATTGCTAGTAAACACTGATTATCTTTCAATAGTTACATCCCAGAGTGAGATCACAGATTAATCAATTTTCTATTGGTTGTATTTCTAAACAGGCATAAAATAGTTTATAAGCTAGTCTTTAAAAAGAAGTTTCAAGTATATACAATTGATCTAATGAATTAATCAATGGTACAACAGAGTTATAATCTTTTAATTTATATTTTGAATCACTCTTAAGACTTTATATGATTATAGAAAATCTAATTCTCTTATTTTGATCTAACAACATTCTGTCTAATCTGTTAATCATGTTAGTTATATTACAATTCCCAAATCTTATGGTAACCATTAAAATCCCAATTATTCACCTGACAACTTTGATACTTCTTGGCCTTTGATAGATGCATATTTTAGAATTACCATGGAGTATACATTTTCTTGAAAATCAAAGGGAAACTGAAATGCTTGCTTAGTGTTTTAATAGGTTTATGTTATTTAATATAGATAATATTTATTCAAGTCCCAATATGACTCCTTTCCTATATGTATAATGATACATGCTTAATTATAAGTTATTTTATATATAAAAATCATTGATACAGAATATAATGTTGATATAATTTAGAAACGTTTTTATTTTTAATAGCATTTTTTTTCCTCTCCCAATCCACAACTACAGAACCCTTCACTTGCCACTTTATACCTATTATAGAGGTTCAGCAGAGGTTCATGTGAATTTCTTTTGAATAAAGTCCTGCCCCGAAAAAATACATTCTTAAGTAATGATAAGAAATGAGAAACTTGTGTCTCTCATCTCAACAACTTTGCCACATCGTTTGTGTTCACTCTTTCATAATGAAGTGGTCACCTTAGATGCTGTTTTCTCTTTGAAGGTAAACTGTCTCTTTATGAATTATTCTTTCAGTAGAATAAATGTATATACATTTAATTATTCCTGTTTCTTAGTATTTGATCATAATATATGAAAGAAGAAAAACAAGGTATCTAAAAGTGGTGTTGTATTGCAAGTGAATTTTCTAAAATAGAATATTCTCCCCTTAGACATAACACATTCCTCTTTTTCTGCTCTCAATTACCTCTGTGAAATGCTTGACTGATTTCTTTTATCATCAGAAGTTCCATTCATTTCTCTAATTTTAATGTATGATAGGTGAGATTGGAAAGATAGAAAATGCCAGCCTCAAAAATGACTAGATATCTCAAAAAGTCAAAAGCATTATGATCATTTTAAATAACACAAAGATGAGTTGGAGTAAAAAAATACACGTTAGAAAATTTGACACAACATTTATTTTTAGGTGTAGCAATCATTGACTAATAGTATTAATAGAAGGTATATAATGTTAGAATAGAAAGCAGAGTGCATTTTGTAAACTAACATGGAATAGATTCTAAGCTCCAGTCAATTATCTATTTAAATATATTTTTATCTTTGTTAGTATTTTATGCCTTCTTGGCATAAAATATTGGGTTCAAAGAACCCAAGATTACATTCAGAGCTCATAGCAAGTACTGATGTTGTGAGGCATAGATGACACCAGTAGGCTGGATTACATATAGTAAAAATATATTATGTACCAATTTTTTTCTAAATTTATGATTTTTTAGTGTAATTATTGTGACATTCTCAGTAATTGACAAATACTAAGCCTCAAAATATTCTTATATTTTTGAGTAATGTGAGTACAGAAGCTACAATTACATAGGTAGTATTTATTTTTAATTAAAATAATTCATCCATTAATTTCTTCCAGTTCAGTGGTGAATAGAAAACTGTTAAAAGTCTAACGTTAATTGTAGATTATCCAGATTTAAATAAACTCAACACAATCTACATAGAGAATAGTTTTACCAAAAGTTACTTGTCTCATGATTGAAACATAAGTGGTCTGAGTTAACAACTTTTCACTCCTAGCCCCTGAAGACTCTTATATTTCTTAAAACCTAGAGAGGAAAAAAAAGATCTGTGGGAAAATAATCTATATTTTTCAAAAGATGTATGTTATGTTAATATTCAGGACTCTTTTTTCAAATGATTTTATTATTGCTTCAACAAAATTTTGTTGACTGCTTGATACGTACAAAATGTACTCTAGTTGCTGAGGATACCAAATGAACAAACTTCGATCCATACCTTTAAGGAACTAAGAGATTGGTAATAAAAATGAGTAATTACAAGGTTATTGTGTAAATTCTGAAAGATTATGAATGTAAGATGGGCAAGCAAAAACTCATCAGGTTCACCTGGGTATAGCTGGGATGGAATTAAAGAAGATGTCACAAGGGATCATTACAGAGCCTGAAATACAGCATAGTATCATGAAATACAACTTCTTGTTTTTGAAGATTTTACATATTTTAGGGCTACAAAAAAATTTATGATAATCTCTTTGTTACTCCTTTTCATTTGATTTTTATGTTTTGCTCCTAAGGCTATTAAGGACACAGAAATTATGCTAGCAATTCCACCAGACATAAAAACAGTATATAAAAATCATCACTCTCTTTTCTTTTCCACAGTGAAACTACTCTGTATATGACATGCTGATATTTGGAAAACCAGATATTAATATACAGTATTTCAAAAGAGAAAGATTCATTACTAATTGGTTAGTTACACTTTGTTTTCCTGTTCACTGGTACAGAAAGTTCAGTATAAACATTAAAAAGTTTATTTCAATGTGTAAATTCTTATTTTAGTTGTGCATTTAGCAGGGGTGGGAGTGCACACTTTCCAACAGTGATCGACTAATAAGACAACAGATATCTGGACATATTATAGGTAGACTCTAATCATACGCACCATTCTTTGTTCTAGCTAGCTTAATTAAATTTCAAAGATTGTCTCCTAAACAGATTAGATTATAAATTTGATGTTCAGTTTTGCTGAATAATATCTTTTTGTGAATTAATTTTCTAAGAACTAATTGAAAAAACGAAGATGTTGTGGATAACATCTTTACTTCCTTGATTACATAAATTTTTTGCATAAGTAAATTGATATGAAAAATATGAATTTCAATATTCAAAACCATAATAAAGTCAAGGTAGTTATCATTACTAGGTAAGGTAAGGTATTAGTCTATATTTGACTTTTTCAAACTAAGCAAATGAAGGCTAATGTGTGTCCAAGCATTGTGTAAAATTTTCCTTTTGAAGATTAGCTGTCTTTTATCTGATACATGTTTATAAACTAAAAGAATTGTTTTCCATGATGTAACTTATTTATTCAGTTGTGGTTACCTGTAATTTGGGGATTAGGAAAATGGGGAGTCATATGGACATGGATTCTGAGGCAAAGTCAGAAATTGGGTCGGGGATGGAAGCAGGAGTGGGATTGCTATAATTAAAGAACAGTATCAGTGATTTTAGAAATGGGAGAGAACCAGGAATAGTGGCTCCTGCTTGTAATCTCAGCTACTCTGGAGGCTGAGGCAGGAGGATCACTTGAGCCCAGGAGATGGAAGCCACAGTGAGCTACCATCACACCACTGCATTCCAGCCTGGATGACAGAGTGATACACTATCTCATTCTATTCTGTTTGTGTGCTGAAGTGACGATGTGCAAATTGAGTTCCCTAACAGGTAGGGTTAGGGTAGTCTCATGGTTCCAGCAAGACACTGGAGCCTTCTCATCCAGTAAGCATGTTTGCCATCTAGCTCTAACACACTTGAAGAGGTCAGTAACAACTACCAAATAGCTTCAAATGCTTGGCCCAGGAGTACTTCTGTGCAAAAAGAAACATCAATTTTTGCTATTCAAATGATAGCTAAAATTACTCAGTTGTTCTTTATCCATATAATTTTAATTCTTATTTGTTCACATCAGAGTTTATTTAACTGCTGTTAGTTTAAAAATGGTAAAATTTAAAATGAAAGTGCCTTTGAATTTTCTCTGCATAATTATGTTGCCTGTTTGTCCCTTACCAAGGTCAGTATATACTGGTAGTTCTTAAACTTTATTGTGCACAGGAATCACCTGTTTGTTATATATGGCTGATTCTTCTGCCTCACCTATAATTACTGATTAGAATAACAGAGGTATAATCTAGGTATCTGCTTTGTGATAAGGTCCATAGGACATTCCAATTCAGGTTATTGGGAGAACACACCAGGCTGGTTATTAAAATCACCTCTATTTGTGCTCTTAATTGAAATCCACCCATTTAGAAGTCTCATGAGTCACACAAAGAAAAAATATCTTCAGCATGAATCATCTTGTGCATTAAAGATTTTAAATTTAAATCTTTGTCCTTTCTTATTGTGATCCCAGTAATCTACAGTCACTTCCATCAGTCTATTTTCTAGCTAACATCTGTGTGAAAAGCATCTTCCCACACTAGCAGCCTGTGTGCCAGCCAGTCACAGAATTACCAAGTTTGGGATGCTATTCTTATATAATTGCTGCCTGTGGAAGATGGTACTGCTGTGCATGATGCTAGCTCATTAGTTATGAGTTAGAATGGAGCTTGAGGATTAAAACAAGAAACTCTTTACTTCCTTCAGTTCAGCCAGATACTCTCCTGGTCTCTTCATATAGGTGGTTGATACTGATAAAAATCAGGGGAGCTTACTAACACAGGGCACATCATGTGCTGGCAGCAGGTCATCTCCTATTCTTCCTCCACCTCAGCTCTATGGGACTGCCAGCTGCAGAGCAAATGTAGTGCAGCACCCTTGCCTAGAAGAACTGATTTTTACAAGTGGGAAATTGACGAAGATTGTGTGATTCCAGTCAATTTCACTCACAATGGGTAAGAAGCACCTGTGCACAAGCTGGTGTGGCATTTCCTGGAGCAGCTGGTGCCCTGTACCTGAGCCTAGTCAAGATGTAGGAAGGAAAATGGAGTGAAGAACGAACAGGAGGAAAAATGTGCAAGCCTCTCTTATTTTCTATCTTTTCATGCCAATAATTTATCTTTTTCTACTGATTAAGATATTACAAGATTCACATGTGATCATAGTTTTCCTAAGGTAATGCAACTCCCAAATGTTTCATAAAGTTCTAAATAATACAGGATTTACATTCAGTATACCACATAAGCAGACACAAGTTGTCTTGATTTCTCTTTGTTGGTTTTTGTTTTAAATTTGTTTGCTTTCACAAAGGCAGGCCACTAACAAACCATGCATTTCTGTAAAGAATTTAAATAGGTAAGCATTTACTTAAATGAAATCGCTTTTAAAAATTTGTGGATTTGTCTAACAAAATTATTTTACCTCAGATTTAAAACAAGAAGGATATACAAATGATGAAGCATGGTCTCTGCAATTCTCTGTTAGTCTTCCACAGCTTCTCCATCCTACACACATATCTGCACACAGAGCTAACCAATTTTCCAGAGTCTCAGGAAAGAACATGTCCCTATATCCCCTCCCTTCTTACATCACTTCTGCATCTTCATCTTTATTTTTGATACCTACTCTTCCCCCCACACTACAAATATGCTGAAATCTTTCTTGTTAATGTACACACAACCTTCCCCTAGATTCCCTAGATTTATCTCCCCAATTACAGTATTTCTCCCTCTTTCTCTCTCTCTTTCTAATTTTGCAACTAAATTTATTTATAGTCTTGGTCTGATGCCTTCTTCATCATATTCCATTCATTTCTTTATTTGATAACATCTCTGACTCCATTAAATTTACTTTGGAAAAGGTTACCAGTGAATTCTATATTTCATAAAACAATGGGAATTTCATACTCCACCTCCAACTCACTGTATTCAATATTGTTCACCACATATTTTGCCTTACAGTAATTTTTCCAATTGGATTTGTAACACCACTCACTCTGCTTCCCCTTCCATTTAAACATTAGTATTCCCTCTTTTTCCTTGACTCTTTTTTTTCTATTAATTTAATAGTGATATTTCTTGGAGTCCTTACCTTAACTCTTTCCTCTCTATAATCATTCTCACAGCTCTTACTATAAGTGTTATGTTATTGACTATAAATATACCACAGATAACAAACTCCTCATCCACAGAATACCAACCTGGGCCTGTACCTTTTTTCAAATTTTCACCTCATTACAAATGCATTTTCTCCTGTCTTAGTCTATTTGAGCTTCTATCACAAAGTACCACAGACTATGGGGCTTATAAAAAAAACACAGAGAGTTAGTTTTCATTGTTCTGGGGGCTAGGAGTCCAAGATCATGGCACTGGCAGATTCAGTGTCTGATGAGGACCTGCTTCCTCAGAAGTGGTGCCTTCTCAGTGTGTCCTCATGTGGTGGGAGGAGCAAATGAGCTCTCTGGGACCTCTTCTATAAGGGCAGAAATCCCATTCATCAGGGCTCTGCCTCAATGACCTAATCACTTCCCCAAATCCCAATATTCTAATATTACTTTGGGGGTTAGAATTTCAAAATATAAATTCAGGAGAGGCATAAACATTCAGTCCATTGCACTCCACAATTATCTTTTTTTTTTTCTTTCTGGAAGTATCAGCAACATCCATTCAGTCACCAAACCTAGAAATCTAAACAACAACCTTGATTTCTACCTTCCCTTAATTTCTATATCTGAAAATAAAATCATGCAAATGTGGCTTCAATATCTTTTCGACTCCCTTGCTCCTTTTCTTTTTCTGTTTCCACTATGGTCCTTTAAACCTTCATTATCTGTTACATCAACTTTGACAAAAGCTCCACTTTGCCTCCAAAATTGAATTCAAATTCTTCAACATTTCCTCAAAATTTTCATGAAAGATCTCTGAGTACACTTCTGTCCTGCCTGCTCCTTTACGCTCTTTTAAGTAGAAACCTTTTGTTGTTGTTGTTAGGAGACATTCTGCTGTTTCCTTGATATATTTGCTTCCTTGATGTACTCATTTTTTTCTTTCTCTGATGGTAACTCATTCTTTCCACATAAAAAGATGGCCTTTCTTAGTCAGCTCTTCCCCCTCTCCCAACTTTGCTCAGCTATTGCCCTCCAGGAAGATTTCTGAAATTGTAAGCTAGAGTGAGTCTTGCTTTTTGACTAAACAAAAACAGCACAGATAACACTATGGATTTTTTTCTCAAGGAACTCAAAATGCTTTATAAAAATAATCATATTTATCACTGTTTGTATGAGAGAAATAAATGTCATCATTGGCATTTGAAAAAATAATATTTTTGTAACTATAAAATCTGCCTTCCTTTCTCTGGCCCCTAAGTAGAATATGACGCTAGGATTTTATAATATTTTTTTTCTGGAGCAGAAATGAACATTTCCTTTCTTTAGGAAAATATCTGACAGTCTATAATATCTTTAAGGATCTAGTAAAGTCATAAAACATTCAGCTGTGTTAGTCTTCTGTGGCCAGGATTGGGACTATGGGTCTATTACCCAGAAAAAGATGGGGTTCGTTCACCTAGCAAGTAACAAATGACTCTCCATGAGAATGCAGTTTTTGATCAAGAAGAGTTTGATTACTTGGCATAAGTAAGGAGAACACTGGGAGTATTCTCCAAAGCAATGTCTCTCTAAGGGAAAGTGACAGAAGGGTTTTATGGGGTGATAGAGTGGGGAGACAGTGCATCATTGCATGCAGAGGAGGAGTTCCAGTTGTGCAGACGCTGTGAGTCATTATGGCAGCACATAGGTCACATGTTATTGTAATGTAGCTGCAGTTCCTCTCATGATGGAGACTTTAGCATGGTAATAAGGAAAGTCCACCTGGGTTCATTTATAATTTGCCAGGTTGTGTTAGAAGCTGGTTTTGACCAACAAGGTGACTGTATTCCATATAGGATTTAGGGAAAAACAGGCTGAATGTCAGGAGACTAAACAGGCTGTTGCTCAACTTGACCAAATTTCTGTAATCCCTGGAGAACCTTCCTATCTGCTTACAGATTTGGAAGAAAAAGTAAACCGTGTGAGTCTATATGTCCTCTAAATACTTCTAAATACCCTGAATACTTCAACTCAATGGGAAATATGCACTCTATTACCATTTAACTTAACCATAAGATAATCAGGAACCAGGATCAACTGACAACTGTTATATTAAGAAAAAAAATTTTATCAAATATATTTTCAAAAATATTTTAAAATCTTCATACATAAAAATATTTTAAATGAAGTGTATTAGGCCATGACTAAAATGAGTTTTTTAAAACTATAATTTATAACCACATTCTGTCCTAAAAATAAGAAAATTAAAATCTATGAAGTGGGCTTTTATTCCCAGGTCTGACATGTACAGAGAGTGGCAGTCATCATTTCTGTCATTACAAAAACATAAAGATAAAACCAGATAGACAGACAATATTACTGACTCTACTTGCATTTAATAAAGCAAACCATCACACCAAAATCTGTAGAAATATATTGAATCAGAGATACAGCAGAGATTTGCTTACCTTGAGCAGCAGCTGCTAAGACAATAAACTGGTAGGAAAACTTAAATGGTAATTTTCGACAAGTTGCTCCTGGCTGTGTATGGATTTTAACTTGAGAATGAGAAACTCAAAGTTAGACTTTTGTGGATTTAATCTCTAGGAATCCCACCATATTCTCAGAGTGAAGCAATGAAAAAGATGATCTATAACTGTTTCTGGGGAAGGAAAGAGTACCCATTGTGAACAATGCTGTGCAAGAAATAGACTCGCGGAAGAGGAGTACTTATAAAGTCCAAAGTCAAAGTGAGACAAAAACAAAGACAGCAGAATTTGGAGCCTCTGGCACCAGTAGCTCCACCAAATTTTGAACAGAGACTGATTCTTAGCCAGATAAACATGGGATCTCACACTGAAGTCCTATTTTTCCTATTCCACAACATTGGCAGATTTCAACACCACCACATTATAAGACATGTTTCAAAGCAAGGAAAACACATTTTGAAAAGGTAAAGCAATCATCAAAACCAGACAGATATATGATACAGACATTCAAATTATCATACAAGTCATTTAAAATAACTATGGTTAATATGTTAAGGACACTAATGGAAAAACTAGATAACATGCAAAAATAGATAATATAAGCAGAGAGATAAAAACTCTAAGAAATAGTCGAAAAGAAATGCTGGAATGAACACTATAACCAAAATAAAGAATGTCTTCAATGAACCTGTCAGAAGATGACATGGCAGAGGAAATAAACAGTGACATAAAAGAAGGGACAATAGAAACTTCAGAAAATGAAATACAAAGAGAAAAGAGAATGAAAAACAACAAACATCTCAGAGCTGTGGGACAATTTCCAAAGTTATAATATATACATAAGTGGAATGCAAAAGCAAAAAAGTGAGAGAACAAAGTAGAAAAATATATTTGGAAAAATAATGGCTGAAAAATTTTCAAAATTAATGACAAACAACAAACCATAGTTCCACAAAGCTCAGAAAACAATTAGCAGGACAATAACAAAGAAACAAACAAAAACAAGCAAAACAAACTAACCTAAGAATGTTACAAATAAACAACTGTGGAGAAAAGCGAAGACAAAAGGAATATCATGAAAGAAACCACAAGAGAAACAAACAAATTAACAAACAAAAATACATCTTACCTATACAGGAGCATGGGGAAGAATTACATTGCACTTCTATTCATAAATATTCAAGCAAGAAGAGAGTGATGCTAAGAGAAAAAAAAATCACCTAGAATTATATATGCATCAAAATTATTCTTCAAAATAAATAATAAAGATTTCTTTATTTTCTAAACAAAAATTGAAGGAATTTATTGCCACCATGCCATACCTCCCACAGGAAATAATAAACAAAATTATTTGAGCAGAAGGGAACTGCTATTTTCTTGGGTCTAAGGAAAGGAAGAGTGTAAGAGAAGGAATAAATGGAGTTTTTTTTAAGAATAAAAAATCTTATATGTCTCTTATTATCTTGAAGATAATTGCTTGTTTAATGTAATAATAGTAACAATGTATTTGGTGATTATAGCACATGGATAAATGAAATGACTGACAACAATATCACAAGGGATGTATAAAGGAATTCGATACATTCTAAGTGTAATGTGTATCCTCAGACATCAGCTAGTATCAAATCACATAAAACAATCAATTAAAACCAGAAAGAACAGAAATAGATGGAAGGGAGAGAAACAAAGGAAATGCAAAATTTAGAAAGATTATAAACATGGTAGGTATTAATTATAATATATAATTAGTCAACTTAAATATTACTTGTCTAAGTACACCAATGAAGACATCGTCAAAATGAATGAAAAGAATAAAACCAATTATATGTTGAATACAAAAAAAATGTATCTTAGAGAGAGGTAGAGGTAGAGCAAGATACCTGAATGGAAGGGTTCTCCAATCATCCTCCCCACAGGAACACCAATTTAACAGCTATCTACACAAAAACGCACCTTCATAGGAATTAAAAAAAGCAGGTGAGTGATCACAGTATCTGATTTTAACTTCATATTGCTGAAAGAGGAACTAAAGAGGTTGGGTAAAAGAGTCTTGAATTCTGATGCCATCCATCTTCCATTCCTCAGCAGCAGTCACCTGTCTTGAAGAGATAATCTGTACACTTGGTGGAGGGAGAGCACAGCAATTATGGCGCTTTGCATTGGAACACAGTGCTGCCAACACTGAGCAGAGCTCCACTGATGCCCACAGAGGGAGCATTTAGACAAACCAGAGAAGAACTGCCCATCCCAGTGGCTGGAACCTGAGTTTCAGCAAGCCTTACCACCAAGGGCTAAAGTGCATTGAGGTCCTAAATAAACTTGAACAGCAGTCTAGGACACAAGGACAGCAATTTTTATGCAAGTCCTATTGCTGTACTGGGCTCTAAGTCAGTGGCCTTGGGAGGCACACAGTCTAGTAAGACACAAGCCACGGTGACTAAATCAGTGCTCGCTGCCTATAAGGGAAGGACATGAGCCTAGCTAGCTTTGCCATCTGCTCCATCGCCAACACCAGGCAGCACTGCTTGCATCTCTGAAAGAGACCTCTTCCCTTTGCTTGAGGAGAGGAGATGGGAGAGTAAAGAGGACTTTATCTTGCAACTTGGATACCAGCTCAGCCACAGTAGGATAGGGCACCAGGCAGAGTCATGAGGCCCCCATTCTAGGCCATAGCTACTATACAACATTTCTAGATACACCCTGAGCCAGAAGGGAACCCACTGCCTTGAAGGGAAATCCAGTCCTGGCAGGATTCATCACTTGCTGACTGAAGTCTAAGCTCCGGAAGAATACTCTGGATTACCAGGCAAAGACTCTTTTTCCCTTTCCTTACTCTCTCCCATACAAAAGAGTCTCTCTCTCTCTCTCTCTCTCTCTGTCTGCTGAGCTGCCCGGAGCTCTGGGAGGTATGACACAAGCACCCGTGTGGCTACCACACTTGGAACTGTGCTGCTTCAGACCTGAAGCCAGCACAGCACTGAGTCTCACCCAAGGCTCACTATAACCAATACCTAGCTACCTCCTAGGAGCGCTTAAGGCCCCAGGGCTCTACCGTCTACAGATGGCAAAGTGAGCTCGACTTGTGTCCTTCCCTTCAGACTCTGAATAATCAGCAGCAGTAGCCAGGTAGTACATATCATAGGCCTTAGGTATGAATCTTAGATGTGATGGCTTCAGGAGTGACCCAGCACATTCACATCTGTGGTGGCTATAAGCAAAAATTCCTTTTGCTTGAGAAAAGCAAAGGGAAGAGTAAAGGTGACTTTGTCTTTGCAGCTTAGGCACCAGCTCAGCCACGTGGATAGAGTGCCAGGTGGGCACTTGGGGTCCCAAATTCCAGGCCTTGGTTCTTTGATGTGATTTCTGGACCTACTCTGGGCTAGAGGGGAGCCCACTGCTCTAAAGGGCGAGTTCCAGGCTGGACAGCATTCACCATAAGCTGACTGAGAAGCCCTTGGGCCTTAAGTGAACACTGTGAGCACTGGTGGTTGCCTGGCAGTACCCACTGTGGGCCTGTGGTAATGGTTGACATGGGAAGAGACTCCTCTGCCTGAGGCAAGGGGAAGAAAGAGTGGGAAAAACTTGTTCTCCTCTGGGTGCCAGCTCAGCAGAAGTGGAAAAGATGTAGATTTCTAAGATTTCTGACTCCAGGCCCCGGCTCCTGGGTGAAATCTTTGGTCTCATCCAGGGACTGAGGGAACTTACTGCCATGAAGGGAAGGACACAAGTCGAGCTAGCTTTGCCATCTGTAGACGGTAGAGCCCTGGGGCCTTAAGCACTCCTAGGAGGTAGCTAGGTATTGGTTATAGTGAGCCTTGGGTGAGACCCAGTGCTGTGCTGGCTTCAGGTCTGATGCAGTACAGTTCCAAGTGTGATAGCCACACGGGTGCTTGTGTCACACCTCCCAGAGCTCTGGGCACCTCAGCAGACAGAGAGAGAGAGAGAGAGAGAGACTCTTTTGTTTGGGAGAGAGTAAGGAAAGGGAAAAAGGGTCTTTGCCTGGTAATCCAGAGTGTTCTTCTGGAACTTGTCCGAGACCATTAAGACCATACCTATATGAGTCTGCATGAGCCAAAGTGTTACTGGGCTTGGGGCGCCCCCTAATGCAGGTACAGCTGCAGTGACCAAAAACTTACATCACAACATCTAAGTCTCTTCAAATACCTGGAAAGCCATACCAACGACAGGCATAAACATGCCCAGACTGTGAAGACTACAATACAGACCTAACTTTACAATGCCCGGATATCAACAAATATCCACAAGCATCAAGATCATCCAGGAAAACATCACCTCACCAAATGAACTAAATAAGGCACCAGGGACCAATCTCAGAGAGACAGAGATATGTGACTTCTCAGACAGAGAACTCAAAATGGCTATTTTGAAGAAACTCAAAGAAATTTAAGATAACACAGAGAAGTGATTCAAAGTCCTATCAGATAAATGTAACAAATAAACTTAAATAATTAAAAAGAATAATAAATTCTAGAGTTGAAAAATGCAATTGACATACTGAAGGATACAGCAGGGTCCCTTAATAGCAGAATTACTCAAGGAGAGGGAAGAATTAGTGAGCTTAAAGACAGGCTATTTGAAAATACAGTCAGAGGAGACAAAGGAAAGAAGAGAAAGATCTAAATCTAAGTACAAGAAGGTTATAGAACACCAAGCCGATTTAACCCAAAGAAGACTACCTCAAGGCATGTAATAATAAAACTCCCAAAGGTCAAGATTAAAGAAAGAATTCTAAAAGCAGCAAGAGGAAAGAAACAAATAAAAGCAGACTTTCCAGTGGAAACCTTACAGGTCAGTAGAGAGTGACATGACATGTTTAAAGTGCTGAAGGAAAATAACTTTTACCCTTTGGGCTTCTCCTACCCTTAAGTCAACAGGCTAAGAAGGGAGTTACGGTGTTGGTTGGGGTGATTGACCACACTATCAAGATGAAATCAGTCTATGATTCCACAATAAAGGTATGGAAGACTATGCATGGAATACAGTAGATCCCTTGGGGTGTCTCTTAGTATTGCCATGCCCTGTGGTTAAGGTCAATGGGGAACTGCAACAGCTCAGTCCAGGCAGGGCTATAAATGACCCAGGCCCTTCAGGAATGAAGGTTTAGGTCACTCTACCAGGAAAAAAACCCACAACCTGCTGAGGTGCTTGCTGAAGAAAAAGGGAATACAGAAGGGGTAGTAGAGGAAGGTAGTCATCAATACTAGCTATGACCACATGACCAAATGCAGAAACGGGGACTGTAATTGTCATGAGTATTTCCTCCTTCTTTTGTTAAAAACATGTTTGTGCATGTATACACTTGTACTAAGAAAATACCTCATTGTATTTCCTTTTTCCTTCATCATGTGACATAAGATTTATTGACTTCATATCAGCATTTAAGTGTTATTAACTCTATGTAATAGCATTTGGCTTGGGGATTGGTGCATTTCCAGTTGTACAAAGGATAGTTGTATTACATTAGGCATAATTTTGACCTTATTATTGTCTTTATTTGAAGATTATGTCCGATCTCAGGAGATGTGTATGGGTTCAAGTTGACAAGGGGTCGACTTGTGATGATTAAGGCTGCGTGTCAACTTAATTGGATTGAAGGATGCACAGTATTGATACTGGGTGTGTCTGTGAGGGTGTTGCCAAAGGAGATTAACATTTGAGTCAGTGGGCTAGGAAAGGCAGACCCACCCTTAATCTGGGTGGGCATAATCAGCTGCCAGCAAGGCTAGAATATAAAGCAGGCAGAAGAACGTGAAAAAACTAGACTGGCTTAGCCTTCCAGGCTACATATTTTCCCCTGTGCTGGATGCTTCCTGCCCTCAAACATTGGACTTCAAGTTCTTCAGCTTTGGGACTCAGACTGGTTTCCTTGCTCCTCAGCTTGCGGATGACCTATTGTTTGACCTTGTGATCATGTGAGTTGAATACTCCTTAATAAACTCTCTCTCTATGTATATATGTTAGTTCTCTTTCTCTAAAAAACTCTAATATATGAGGTATTTTATTTTTTGTGTGGCAATTGTGAATGGGATTGCATTCCTTCAGTTTGACTGTTGGTTTATAGGAGTGCCAATAATTTTTGCACGTTAATTTTTTATCCTGAGACTTTGTTTTAGTTGTTTATCAGCTTAAGGACCTTTTGGGCTGAGACTATAGGATTTTCTAAATATAGGGTCATGTCATCTGCAAACCGGGATAGCTTGACTTCCTCCCTTTCTATTTGGGTGCTCTTTATTTTATTCTGATTGTTGTTGTATTCTGTCTTGCCTAATTTTTCTGGCCAGGGCTTCTAATACTATGTTGAATAGAAGTTGTGAGAGAGGGCATCCTTGTTTTGTGCTGGTTTTCAAGGGGAATGCTTCCAGCTTTTGTCCTTCAGTATGTTGGCTGTGGGTGTGTCATAGATGGCTCTTACGATTTTGAGGTATGTTCTTTTAATAACTAGCTTATTGAGAGTTTTTAACATGAAGCAGTGTTGAATTTCATTGAAAGCATTTTGTGCATCTATTGAAATAATCATGTGGATTTTTTCTTTAGTTTTATGTGATAAATCACATTTGCTGAGTTGCACATGTTAAACTAACCTTGTATTGAAGGGATAAAGTCTAAGTGGTTGTGGTGGATTAGCTTCATGAGGTGCTGCTGGAGTCAGTTTGCCAGCATTTTGTTGAGGATTTTTTGCATCAATGTTCATAAAAAATATTGGCATGAACTTTTTGTTGTTGTTGTTGTGTCTCTGCCAGACTTTGGTATCAGTATGATGCTGGCCTCATAGGATGAGCTGAGGAGTAGTCTCTGCTCATCAATTTTTTGGAATAGATTTCGTAGAAAAGGGACCAGCTCTTCTTCATATATCTGCTAGAATTCAGCTATGAATCCTGCTTGTCCTAGGCCTTTTTTGGTAGACTATTTTTTACTGATTCAATTTCAGAGCGTGTTACTGGTCTGCAGAGGGAGTTAATTTTTTCCTTGCACCAAATTATTTTAAGAGTCATTCACTGAGAACTGGCAATTGTTTCAGGAAGGTTGTATATCTTAAATAGTAAAACTTTAGCCATTTGGCACAGTGCCAGAAATTTTAGCACTACATATTATAATTCATTAAAATATTTTACCAATGCCCTAAATATGTAATTTAATATTTATTTATTCATTAAATATTTAATATTCTAATAGTATGTATCACGCTTGTGTTAATAACAATTATTATGAGTTCATCTTAAATGGCACTTTATCATCAGTATAAGGTATTTTTTGAGAGACTATAGGTGCATCACTTAATAATTTAAGGAGTATGACTTTAGTACAGTCATTATTGTCCAGTAGGCCCTTGATAAACAAGGGATTAAAGAAACTATGGGAGCTGTCAAAAATATATTCCTAATTTAAATAAATTTACACCAGTGGGTGCTGTTTTACCAGTGTTCATACTAATAATACATAAGTTATAAACTTTAAATGAAGCTTTGGTTTTCTAGATGGTTGTCTGTGGGATTTTATTTTATTTCTTTGTTCTATTACAGTAAGAAAATTTGATTGCAAAGTATTTTTGAAGTAAGTTGCAGGTGAATCTTACTAGGATTTAAACAACATATAAATGTTATGTCAATCATTTCCCTATCTAGCAAGTTATTTTTTCATCTCCAGTCTACACAAATGTTTCCACATTATTTTCTAAGCTTTTTTGAGGCCCAAGATTTTTGAATATTAGAGATGAAACAAAAAAGACCATCTGAAGTCCTACTTATAAACACTTATCTATTATGTAACAGAATAGGAGGACATTGTTTATTAGGTTGGTGCAAACATAATTGCAGTTTTGCATTGCTGGAATTTGCCATTTGATATTGGAATACATTCTTAAATAAATGTGGTTATGTTATACATCATTTTAATGCACATTTTCACTTTTGTTTGCTAATGACTTATTACTTGCTGTTTATTTTATATTTATTTTAGACTATGGAAATAATGTTAGATAGAAAGCAAATTCAAGTGATTTTCTTATTTGTGTTCAAAATGAGTCGTAAAGCAGTGGAGACAACTCACAACATCAACAACACATTTGGCCCAGGAACTGCTAAAGAACATACAGTGCAGTGGTAGCTCAAGAAGTTTTGTAAAGGAGATGAGAGCCTTGAAGATGAGGAGTCTAGTGGCTGGCCATTGGAAGTTGACAACTACCAATTGAGAGCAGTCATCGAAGCTGATTGATCCTCTTAGAACTACATGAGATGGTTGCCGAAGAACTCAATGTTGACCATTCTATGGTTGTTCGGCATTTGAAGCAAATTGTAAAGATGAAAAAGCTTGATAAGTGAGTGTCTCATGAACTGAGTGAAAAAAAAAATCTTTGTTTTGAAGTGTTGTCCTCTTTTTTTTCTTGACGGAGGCTTGCTCTGTAGCCGGGCTAGAGTGCAGTGGCGTGATCTCAGCTCACTGCAACCTCCACCTCTCCAGTTCAAGCGATTCTCCTGCCTCAGCCTCCTGAGTAGCTGAGATTACAGGCACCCACCGCCATGCCCAGCTAATTTTTTGCATTTTTAGTAGAGATGGGGTTTCACCATGTTGACCAGGCTGGTCTTGAACTCCTGATCTCGGGTGATCTGCCCGCCTTGGCCTCCCAAAGTTCTGGGATTACAGGTGTAAGCCACCGCGTCCGGTCTATCATCCTCTCTTATTCTACAAAACAACAACAAACCATTTCTCCATCGGATTGTGATGTGCCATGAAAAATGGATTTTATACAACAATTGGCAGTGACCAGCTCAATGGTTGGATTGAGAAGAAGATCCAAAAAACGTTCCAAATATAAACTTACACCAAAAAATGGTCATGGTCACTGTTTAGTGGTCTGCTGCTGGTCTGATCCCCTATAGCTTTCTGAATCCTGGTGAAACCATTAGATCTGAGAAGTATGCTGAGCAAATTGATGCGATGCACAGAAAACTGCAATGCCTGCAGCTGGCATTGGTCAACAGAAAAGGCCCAAGTCTTCTCCATGGCAGTGCCTGACTGCATGTCACACAATCAATGCTTTAAAAGTTGAACAAATTGTGCTGTGAAGTTTTGCCTCATCTGCCATATTGACCCTGCCGTATTCACCTGACCTCTTGCCAACTGACTACCACTTCTTCAAGCTTCTCAGCAACTTTTTGCAGGGAAAACACTTGCCTGCAAAAAGTGCTTTCGAAGAGTTCGTGGAATTCCAACACACTGATTTTTATGCTACAGGAATAAACAGACTTATTTCTCTTTGGCAAAAATGTGTTGATTGTAATCGTTCCTATTTTGATTAATAAAGATGTGTTGAGCCTAGTTATAATGATTTAAAATTCACAGTCCAAAATCACATTTACTTTTGCACCAACCTAATAAAATACTACAAAAATATGGTTTGACTATATTGTGTTGTGTGTCTTATTTGAAGATCTGAGAATTAGAGTGAGATACTCCCCACAAATTTTGAAAAATATTAATTAATTGATTAATTTAAAATATTTATTGAGTTAAACTCCAAAATAAATGTATTTCATAGAGGTCAAAACAAGGATATAAAAATTACCAGACAGAGACCCTACCTAGGCAAAAAGTAAGACTGTCAACTGATTATTTTAAGATAACTATGGTTAGAGTTATTAGTTATAGCTAGTATTAGTACACTCAAGAAACCTTAAATGTCTAATTCCAAATGTTTGTATGGCAAAGATGCAAACTTATACCTACTAGTATAATGTAGTCTGGTGGATGGATTTGTTTGTTCTTGCAAAAAGTTTTGAAACTTATTGTTTTCTCCTTTTGTTTGAATACTTTGGGGGATAATGGATATTGATCATGGTTCCAAAGATGGATTTTCTTAGGCCTGCAAGGTTTCTGAATACTCCAAATACTCTCTACCTTGTAGGATTATCAAACATACCCTACTGCTTTACAGCTGATCATTTGAAATATTAATTTTTTTAATTTTCAGAGTGGCTGCAGAAGCTTTTGAGTTTGTATGGCTGCTTCTGTGGTGAGATGGTTATGTCACTTAACATTTAACCCTTCTAACTTCTCTCATAATGATTCTTTGTTTATCAAATTGTATTCCAATTTCATTCTGCCTGAAGAGTAAACCTTGCTAGTGTGTAATTATAGGCTTCTGGCCTGTGCAACAGGTTATTCTAAGTTAGTCCCAATTATGTTTTTGCTTTCCCCTACCTAGGTCTGTGTAGGGCAGAACATTTCTTGTTTCACTAGACTTTGGTTTTTCTGAACTGGAAAATTTGCATTTTGTTTGATAGTAGTGTTACTGGACATGAATACATGTGTAGTCTGGTGTATTTTTTTTTTCATTAGTATGAGTCATTACTTCAGGAACACGTCATCTCTGGGCAAATCAAAAAAGAGTTCTTAAGCTAGATCTTCAAAGCAGAAAGCCAGATATGATCTTGGCCCCATTATGTTACATTACTGCCTTACTAGTTTTTACAAGCGTGACATAATTTCTGTTAAAAATAAAATAATAATTTGTTATACTTTTACACTGACAAAGCTTAAGAAAAAATAACTGCTTGACATGGAAAAGGACATTGTGTTGGAATACTGTGCATAACCAAGACATGGAATAAGACGCTTTCTAAATGAACTCTTCTACAGACCCCAGACGCCGTGTCTATGACAGATTTCTATACAGCAATAAGACCAATCCTTTAAGAAAAAATAAAATTTGCATTTTATAGTTTTCAAGGCTGACGAATAAACATGTAAGCAGCCTACAGTATTTAGAAAACGTACTATGAGAAAATCCACAAAATGTAAACAACGAAAGAAGTATGGTGGCTATAAATAAAAACCAGAAACAAAGTGAAATGTTTCTTTTCTTAATAGTTTCTGTAGGAGCAAGCCCTCTATTTTTCCAAGTATTGGTCCAGTCAGACACAATTTGAAAATCTCTGTCTCTAAAGAAATATGTTTCAACTACAAGAAATTTCCGTTACTGAGTCTGGTAAGAATATCAACTGTGTCTGCCTCGCCAAAGGAAATATCACCATGAAATCCATTAGTCCTTGTTTGTATAAATCAAATGTACTGGTAAAAAGCAGAAACTTTCAGTGTAATTACACCTCAGTATATATTCAAGCCTTCTTTCTCTTAACTAAATTTCTTACATACAGGTAAAAATCACAATACAGACAAATAATACTAACATTAGTGACTAGTTTTGAATATAAATATTTTAGAAAAATATTTTCAATTTGAGTTAGTCTTTATCCATTAGTACCAATAATTTTGTTGAGTAAAAATACAAATACAGAGAAAAAAAATCTCCTTTACCTTCACAATTAAAAAAAACTATTAAATGAAAAAAAGTGTGCTACATAAAATTAGTGTAACTTTTAGTTTTTTCCCATTTAAATTCTTGAAGATAATTTTAAAAACTCTTGGCTTCTACTTTAAATATAAAAAAATAAAAATGAGGGACCTAATGAGCATAAGCATAAGGAGATTTCATCAACATTTCTCTTACAGAAATATTTTCCTGTACTAGGAGAATACACGTCTAACTAAGAGAAAAGTCAGAGAAATAAATGTGATGAGCTGAAGAAAACATAAAATGGTTATTTTGACTTAGATTTGGTAAAAGAGAATAGAATTGGGAGTTTATTTATTTATTCATATATTCATTAATATTTACTGAAAACAATTGTGTTCAAACAGTAAGTTTGAACTGGGAATACATCATGTTACTCAAAATTAGGTGAATAAGTGTTTTGTTCATTAAAATTATTCAATAAAAATTGATTGAATACCTATGTTAGGTAAAGAGTCATGTAACATTATGGGTATAGATAATTTTTCCTTAAGGATCCCATACTTCATAAGATTTATGTTAGAAGAGTGCACAAAAATTATTAAAGCACAAAGGAAATAGATTTCACCTAGAGAAGTTGTATTGAATAGTAAAATAGAGTAAGAGATTAAAAGATGAAACATACCAGTATTTTTAATAAAAATCTAATTTTGACACCTATTTAAACTAATGTGCTTAAGTATACTACCATCATTGAGACACACAATAAATAAAACTAATAACACTGTTTATTTAACCAAAATTTGTAAAGAGATAAGACAATGGCAAAATATGGAAGGAGAAATGTGAGGTTTTGGTTTCAGCTCTGATGCATAAAGAGCTTAGAAGTCATCGCTTACATTTTTTATAGCAAGAAAAAATCGGAACAAACTGAACATCAGTGGCTTCTCTTAAACCTAACAGAAAATGATATCACAGGCCAAACCAACACCCTGAAATTTAGACAGAAATGCCAAGTCAGAGAACCACAGTTGAGATCATCTGACTTTTATAAGAAACTGCTGGGGCCATAAGATGGCAGGAATGTTAAAGTGGCAATTTTGATAAAAATCTGGTTATTTAAATAAAAAGAACAAATTTCCCTAAAGACAAACTACCAAAACGTAGACAAGAGAAATAGATAACCTCAATAAAACCAAATCTGTTAAAGACATTGAATCAATAATTAATATCTTTTTAAAGCACCCGTCTCAGATGGTTTTACTGATGAATTTTACCATACATATAAGGAAAAATGACATGACCATTGAGCATCTCTTTCAGAATATACAAGCAAAACAAACAAAAACCAAAAACACTTCCTACTCTTCATATAAATAAGGTCAGCATTGTCTTAATGCCAAAACTATATAAAGTCATAAAAAAGGAAACTAGATCAATATTTCTCATAAATATGTATTTTAATGTTTTCCAAAAATAATGATGTTTAACAATATATAATGAGTTTAATAAGAATCATAAACTGCAGACAATTATTCCAGGTATGTGAGGCTGGCTCAACATTTGAAAATCAATTATGTAATACATCATATCAACAAACTAAAAGAAAAAACATATGATCATATCAATCGACTCAGAAAAAGCATTTGAGAAAGTTCAGTAAAATTTGTATGGTGAACTCAGCTAACTAGGAAAAGTGGAGAATATTCTCAACTTGATAAAAAACATCCACAGAAGTTATACTGCTAGCATCATACTTAATGGTGAGGAACTGAATGCTGTCCACCTAAGATCAAGAAGAAATCAAGGAGTTGCCCTCTCTTTATTTTTATTCAACATCATACTAGATGTCCTCCCCAGTTTAAGAAGAAAAGTAAATATTGTGTATGTGTGTGAATGTATATGTATATGTGTGTATATATGCATATGTATATGTATGTATATATGTATTTGTGTGTGCTTGTGTGTCTATTTATTTACTCTGTCAGATCTAAAATAATATCCCAGTAGCTGTAACAGACTCAGTCCCAGATGTTGATTTTTCATGTAATTCTCCAATAAGAGAAGATTCTTGGGATAAATGGTTGATTCTAGAACAAGGGCCGAAAATTTATATGATGAATCTTTCAGTACCAGAAAGTAAGGAAGAGTTCAGTGAGAAAACAAAACAAAACAAAATAAAACAATCACATTGATGGGAGTAGGTAAAAGGGGTACATAAGGCAACTGAAAGTGGTCTAGATGGCCATATCTGGAGCAGTTTGAGAAACAAATTAAATAAGATAGTATTGTATTATAATCTAAAGTATGAAATAAATGACTGTGAGCTAACACTGATACAGATAATGAATACATTAGTTGACAAGACACCAATTTGCTTTTCGTAGATATACTGCTCTCAAAGAGGGGAGCACAATTTTTTTTTTTTTTTTTTTTTTTGAGATGGAGTCTTGCCCTGTCGCCCAGGCTGGAATGCAGTGGCACGATCTTGGCTCACTGCAAGCTCCGCCTCCTGGGTTCATGCCATTCTCCTGCCTCAGCCTCCCGAGTAGCTGGGACTATAGGCTCCCGCCACCACGCCTGGCTAATTTTTTTTTTTTTTTTTTTTTTTTTAGTAGAGACGGGGTTTCACCGTGTTAGCCAGGATGGTTCTGATCTCCTGATCTCGTGATCCGCCCGCCTCGACCTTCCAAAGTGCTGGGATTACAGGCGTGAGCCACCGCGCCTGGCCGAGGGGAGCACAATTTAAGTTTGACCTATGCATAGTGAATTCCTTCAGAGTCCAGTAAGAAAAAGAGTGGGTTATGGGGAGAGTCATCATCAATATTCAAAAATCATGTTTGTAGCATGTCACCTTGGTATTATGTGATGAAAATAGCACTTCATTTCTGTCAGCTTCTTTCCAAAGACCCATAATCTCAATCTAACTGAGAAAAACACCAGCGAAATTCAAATAGAGAAGCATCCTACAAAATACCCAATCAGTACTTCTAACATTACTTCAAATTTCAAGATATTCTTTTGCACACCAAACTTAATGATGTCTTAAAATATAGCAGGGAATTTAATGAAAGTAAGATTTTTTTTTTATTTTTAGAGGTGTCCACTAATTAGGATATCTAATTCAAGAAATAACAGTTGGACCTCAAAGGACAGCTATTCATTATTTCTAATGCACTGAAAAGTAATGATTGTAACTTGTTAAAAATGTTGTCAGTGCATTTAAGAGAGACAATTCCTACATTATTTTTAAATAAAGAAGAGTTCAGAAGAATATCAAGACTATTGAGCTTTTGAAAGTTTTAATGAAGAAGAATGTCAGTTATAAACCATCTAATGTCAAAAATAAACTCAAATTACCTACAATTGTGGCATATGCATGATTCCCCTCATTTTATGGGTGAGAAAACAAAAAATTATGTTAACTTGCTCAGGAATTCTAGTATATTTCTATTCAGCTTCAGTCTTTGAAGTTCAATGATAAGGTGAGGTCTTCAATAATGCATCATAAAGAAAAAATAGAAAGTCCTATATCAAGTGGTGGAGAAATACTTAAGTCTAAATATTATTTTTAGATTCCGAAAAGTAAAATAATTAAGATTATAAAACTGAACTTTTAATGTAAATGACATGAGCTTTCTGGCAGTTACTGTATTGACCAAAATACATCAGGAGTAATAATAATAAAAATATAATCTTTCATTTTATGTTTAGAATTGACTAAAAGACTGAGATAGAAAAAGTAGCCTTCAACTCATGTGCTAACAACTAGACCATGGGCTTTTCCAAATGAATAAAACTACATATTTTCACAAAAGATCAATGTAAAATAGGGTCACTCTGTGATCATGGTTGACTAATGGACTAAAAAAGCAGCATGGTTTCATAATCTTATTTGAGCAAAAATTAAACCACAGATATAAACAACATTGTCCCAACCACCGAAATGATGAAGCATTGCCCTCTTCCAGGTAACATGAGTGACTAATGTTCCTTTATCATATGAAGAATTAGCCCCTTTCCATTCCTTCTGCGTCTAAGTAAAAACATCATTGAGAACCAGATTAGGAAAAGCACTTAAGCCACAGATATTACCAATAAGAAGCTCCCAAGAGAAAACTCCCTCCAATACCTATGAAAAATCATTTGCATTATTTACAATAGCCAAGAAATGGAATCAGCCTTAGTGTCCACCAATGGATGAATGGCTAAAGAAAATGTGGTATATATGCATGATGAAATATTATTCAGCCATAAAACAGAAGGAAGTCCTGTTATTTGAGACAACATGGATAAATCTGGAGGACATTCTGCTAAGTGAAATAAACCAAGCACAGAAAGGCAAATACTGTATGATCTCACTTACATATGGAATCTAAAATAATCAAACCCAAATAAGCAGAGAGTAGAATGGTGGTTACCAGGGGCTGAATATGGAATAGAGTGGGAATGAGGAGATGTTGATTAAAGGGTATAACATTTCATTTATACAGGAAGAATAAGCTTTGGAGATCTAAAGCATAGCATGGCAACTATAGTTAAAAATAATGTATATTTGAGAATTGCTAAGAGAGTAGATTTAAAATGTTCTCACCACAAAAAATAAGCATATGAGGTGGTGAATATGTTAATAAGCTTAATTTAACCTTTCCACAATACATATTAAAACATCACACCATATCCCATAGATATATGTAATTATTATTTCTTAAGATTCTTTTCTTGCCTATATCTGGAGTTCTTCCAATATCCAAGGATAGCATTTTTCACATCTATGTCAGTGTTTTAGGTCACTCTTTTTTATTAAAACATAAATGTTCTTCTGTGATATGATTCCCATACAGATGAATCTAGGTTATTTTTCCATATATGGAAATAAATTTTCCAAGCTCTGACCCATTCTAGAAATCATTCTGAAATTCCAGAATACAGTATCTCAAGTAGAAACATATATTAGAGCATCAGAAGATATATTAAAGTACAGTGAACTGTATCTCATCTTCACAAAATATAATTGTGTAAGTATAAGGCAGCTTTCTTTCATTTGTAAAAATTGTCATAAGATTAAGATTCATTGCATTTAAATATTTTTATGCCAATCACCAAGGTGAATATAGCATATTTTTGCAAAGTTTAATCACTTTAACATTTTTATACTTCAAATAAAATTTAAATATCAATCTTTTCCTTGCTTATAATATTATATTCTTTTGAGAAAATACTTTCATCATTTTAGTTAGTGAAATTCAGGTACTATGTTCATTGCCTCAAGGAACTAGGTCTAATTTAAGAAAATAAAATAGTGTCCTGGAAAGGTTAATATAACTATTCAGTAGAAAACAACCTCTACATGTAAGTGGATTATTAAACATCCTGCAATGACTAGAGAGATACACATTTCAAAGTATACTTTAACATAATTTCTGCAATTGAACTATGACTTTAATTACATGATTTGCTTTTGCAGTGGAGTCCTTAAAAGAAGAGTTACAACTCTTATCAAGCTTTAGAATATTTCTTTAACTTCTCATTTGCCCACCCTGGTAATAACAATATGCTTAAAAGAGTGGCATCATTTTATCATGTGATATTAGGTAATATATACTAAATAAATACATGATAATTACTAAAGTGCTTAAAGGTATTTTGCTAAAATACTGATGGACATTCTTGAATTACTAAACCAGTTTCAACTAAGATTTTTAAATTATTGTAAAGTATTTTAAGAATTTCAGTGTTTCAGAGTTTTGACATGTGGTATTTAATTGCTTATTACAATATTAATGGGAAGTTGAAAATCATTGATTTCATATTTAACAACAAGCATTACAACTATGTATAGATACTTGTTTTCATATTCAACAACAAACATCACAATTATAGTAGGTACTTAAAACCTGTTATGTGCCAGTGGGCACAGAATAAATATAATATAAAATACCACTGCCCTAATGGATCTCATATTCCTTCAAACAAGGGCAAAACAAGCAAATATAAATACAAATGTCTATTATTCAATGCAATACTAAATATTAAGAAAAAAATTAAGGTAGTGTAAAGACAGTGGGAGATGGCAATAGAGACTATTTTATATAGTATGTCATGTCAGATCACTTAGGCTAATTAATGATGTGGTAACAAATTACCCAAAAATTTATTTCTTAGAGGAAAATGTTTTGAGTGAACGGATATATCATATATTGTGAATGAGTCCATAAAGATAAGAACTGAGAATTGCAAATTTGATTTGCAGTGTTGGTAATTGGTAGTCCTTGATAAGAGTATATCTTTAAAACACCTCAAATTCTAGCCTATAATTCCAAGTAGGGTAAAAGAACAAAAGTATTTTGGGAAGACTAGGCAGTATAGTTTTTCAATAGGTGAAATACATTATTTGGAATGATGTGATGATTAATTTTACATGTCAACTTGACACGATATAAAGATATTTAGTTAAAAATTTTTTCTGATTATGTCATGAGGGTACTTATGAATGAGATTTAATATTTGAATCAAGGTCTGGGCACTGTGTCACACCTGTAATACCAGTGCTTTAGGAAGCCAGAGTGGGAGGATCACTTGATATCAGGAGTTTGAGACCAGCCTGGGCAACATAGTGAGATCCCATGTCTACAAAATATATATATTTTTAAATCAGCCAGGTGTGGTGGCACAAGCTTGTAGTCCTAGCCAATCAAGAGGCTGAGGCAGGAGGAGAAAGGATCACTTAAGCCCAGGAATTCAAGGCAACAGTGAGCAGAATTGTACCACTGCACTTCAATTTGGGCAACAGAGAGATCCTGCCTCTAAAAAAAAAAAAAAAAAAAAAAATTAAAAACAAAACGATCCCCTGCAACACACACACACATATAAATATATTTGAACTTCTAGATTGAGTAAAGCATATTGCCATCCCCAACATGTGTAGAGATTATCCAATCTATTGAAGACAATAGAAAAGGCAAAGGAAGGGAGAATTTTCTCTCTGCCTGACTGTCTGAGCTGGGATATTGGCCTTCCGTTGCCCTCAGACTAGGACTCATACCACTGACTTTCCTGGTTCTCAGGCCTTTGAGGTTGGGCTAGAGCTTATACCATTGGCTTTCCTGGGTGTCCAGCTTGCAGATGAAGGTTGTGATAATTCTCACCCTTCATAATTATATAGACCAATTCCTTATTAAAAAATCTTTATATGTACATAAAGATGTGTGTGTATTTATGTGTATCTTTATGTATATATAAAAATTCATCTTTATGTATATATTTATATATATCTTTATATATGTAAAGATACATCTTTATGTATGTATATCTTTATAAATAAAGATACATCTTTATAAATTGAAGCAACACATTTTTAGACATATCTAAAGATATGTAAATACCGATATAAAGATATATTTACATAGATATAAAGATATATATCTATAAAGATATACATATACATATATCTTTATATAACTCTATATAGGTATATCTACACATATATATTTATACATATGTGTAGATCTAAAGATACATCTTTATATTATATATAGATATATCTTTATATCTATATTTACATATTTATGTATATCTATATATAAATATATGAAACCTATCCTTTTTCTGTGGAGAAACTTGACTAATACAAGTGATGTCTAAAAAATATTTTGCTTCAGTTTAATTTGCTCTTCATTGTTGATAACTTCCAAACAACTTGCTATTTACAAAGTAGTCAATTTAAGAGAGATAAATGGCTTGTTAGTTATTTTGTGCCTCATGATTAAGAAGGATTTATAAACAAAGGACTAAAGGCCTTGATTAATGGGTCCATCACTTCCCTTCCCGAAGATAACTACCTCGTTTTCTATCATATATGCTCTGGTATAAGAATTTAATCTTTACACTGTGTGTAAATTAACAATAGAATACAAGACTTCATTGTATTTTTATTTAAAATAATTTGACTTATTAAACATTCTGCAAAATATTTTCAGTCCAAGTAATGCTGAAAATTTTTTTCAAACACAAGCTCCTAAATCTATAGCTGAGTTTTAAAAAGTGTAAGGGAAATTACACTTATTAGAGGTCCTAGAAAAAAAAAGACAGACAGCTGAAAGAAAGGTGCTAGCATAGTTTGAAAGCACTGAGGACATTAGAAAAATTTTCTCAAACTAATGAATAAAGCAAGCTTTGGATTATAATGTTTGTAGTACCATAAACAGACAACAGAACTGTCAGGGCAAGTGAAGTGGAGAGTGAATACTGAGATACCTAAGTAAAATAGATGTTATAAAATGTGGAAGACTGGGAGAAAAAACAAATCTACCTTCAAGTTAAAGGGGAACAAGTAGGAGCTTTTTAAAAAATCTCATCCTTCACACCATATTAGTAAAATATAGAGCCTTCTTTCAAAAATCAAAATTGTATACCTTCTTTAAAATGAATTTGAATGCATATCATTTTTATTTTGGAAAATATTAAATTGAGAAATAAAATTGTTTCCAGATATTTAGGATGCCTGGCAAGACTATATGCAAGAAAAATCAGCCTCAATACATCCTTTAATAATTTGGGGGAATTAACATCTGCTAAATATGAGTTAGCTATCTAAAATTTAAAATTACAAAAATGTACAATAATCACCAGGAGTAGGCAGAGACATCAGTTAGAAGAATTAGGCTCAGAAATCAGATATAAAAATGTATTAGATTATATGATGTCAATCTATTTCTCTGTTTTAAGTGATAAGAATTAAGTGATAACACAAGAGTTTGAAAAGGACCAAGTATATTTTATAGTAGAACAAATTTTAAAATGTAAATGTTAAAATGTAACTGAAAATTGAGGTGGATGAGTTACATATGTTACAAGGCTAAAAGAAGAATTAATGACTGCAGTTGAGATATGAAAAAATTACAATACAGTAAAATGAGACAATTTATTGGTGAAATAAATGTGGGAAACATATGAGAAGAGTCTATCATAAAACTAATTAAAAGATTTAATTAAAGGCAAAAGGATATAGCAGAGTACCTAGAGAAGAGGAACTGTAAAAAGTGATTATAACTTAGAATTTTATAAAATTGATGACAAAGATAACACACAGTGAACAGAGTAAGACTCCAAAGACAAACTAAAAGGTTGTCTTGCCATATCTTCACAGTCGATGAAAGAAGACATTGATACAAGGGATTAGAGTAACATAGTTAGTTACTCACAGAAAGAAAAACATCAGGAGCTTCAATATTGATGCACCAATTCCCCGGCTCCCACGTACCAGTTCAAGGCTATACAGTCAGTGGATTAAGCCACAGCTGAGGAATACAGGGCAAAGGGCTCAAGACCTTTAGTAGCAAGCAATGAAAAGTCACTTCCCTTTCTTGTGGGGTGGGGAAGATATTACACTGAAATTGTCCTCTGGCCATCTTGACCTACTTATTTGAGTATATGACCAGTTACAGAAATAGCTCAGTACCAGGAGACAGATAAGCCTTACAGTTTGGAACACTTAGCAAGGACAAGTAAGATGCTTAGGGCCCATGGAGGACTGCCTCTTCCAGTATGGTAAGTCAAACAATTCAATTAACACAGATTTTTTTTGCAGCAAAAAATAAATACACAGAACATTAAAATAGTTTATTAATATGCTAAAATAAAATAAGAACTGCAAATCTAGAGTTCCAAATCCAGCTGAACATCTTTCAAAAAAAAAAAAAAAAAGGATTAAAAACCAGGTGCAAGTCCTAGCTGCTCAGGAGGTTGAGGCAGAATGAATTCTTGAGCCCAGGAGTTCAAATCCAGCCTGAGTCACATAGTAACATACCATCCCAAATAATAATAACAACAACAACAACAATAATAATAATAATAGGGATTAAATACAGATATTTTCAGATCAAGGAAAATCTAGATATTTCACTACTAACACAACTTCATTAGGTGAAATTCTAAAACATGGGTTCCTGGGATATGAAGGAGGTTAATAAATACAAGAAATAATAGAACAGTAAGGGAATTGGTAAGTTTTTGTGTAAAAAAACAAATACTAACATAAGGCAGTAATAGTATATAACTTTTGAGGTAAACTGTTGGAGCTATTATTAAATAATGATATATAAGAAGAACGGCATGCTTGGAATTAAAATGCATAAAGACAGAAATTTTCATAAATATTCGACCTCTACAAAGTCTGTGAAAATTTCAGTATACTCTCCCAATGGTATAGAATAGTACATGAGAATAAAAGAGAGTATAAAACTCAAAAATGCAAGAAGACAAAATAAGAAAAATTTTGAAAAAATTTTGAAAAAAATAACAAAACATCTGTGTGGTGGGTATAAACATTTAGAGTTTCTGTATGCAATTAAACTAAAGTTATCAGCTTAAAATAGAGTGTTACAACTATGAGGCATTTCATGTAAGCCCCAAGGTAACCACACACTCCCCATACCCACACACACATGATAAAAGTTACACAAAAGAGAAAAAAATCAAAGCTTATCAATAAAATAAAATCAACAAAGGAGAAGAAAGGTAAGATAAAGGAACAAGACTAACACAAAACAACTATCAAAACGGCAATAAAAAAATCATTCCTTATCAATAATTACTTTAAATGTAAATGAAATAAACTTTCCAATTAAAAGCTACAAAGTGACTGAGTGGATTAGAAAACAAGACTTAATTACATGCAAACTACAAGGAGCTCACTTTAGATTTAAAGACATCCATAGACTGAAAGTGAAGGGGTGGAAAAGAAATTCTATGCAAATGGTAAACAAAAAAGAACAGGTTGGCTATACTTAGACAAAATACACTTAAAGCCAAAAATTGGCACAGCAGACAACAAAGGATACTTTGTAATAATAAAAGAATCATTTTAACAGGAAGACAGAACAATTATAAATATCTATGCATCCATCATTAAGGCACCTAAACACAGAAAGCTAACATTGTCAGAAATGAATGAAATAATTGTCAGTAACAGAATGATAGTATGAAACATCAATATCTCACTTCCCGTGATGGATAGAACATGCAGAAAGGGCATCAATAAGTAAACAGAAGACTTGAATAACACTACAGACAAATGGACCTAACAGATATGTACAGAATATTCTATATAATAGCAACAGAATAAACATTCTTCTCAAATACACATGTATTGTTCATCAGAATAGATGACATACAAGGTCACAAAGCAAGTCTTAACAAATTAAACAAGATTAAAAGCATACCAAATATATTTTCTGACCACAGTGGAAAAAAACTAGAAATATGTAGCAGAAGAAAAACTGGAAAATTCACAAATATGTGGAAATTAAGAATATATACTATTGAACAACCATTATGTTAAAGAAGAAATTAAAAAGGATATTAGACTTCTTCCTTTCAATCTGGATGACCTTTATTTCATTCTCTTGTCTAATCGTTCTGGCTAGGACATCTAGTACTGTATTGAATGAAAGTGGTTAAAATGGGCATCCTTGTCTTATTCTAGACCTTACAAGAAAATCTTTCTGTTTTCCCCATTCAGTATGATACTAGCTGTGTGTTTGACACATATGGCTTCTATTATGTTGAGATATGTTACTTCTATACCCAGCTTGTGGGAGTTTTTATCATGAAAAGATACCAAATTTTATCATGCTTTTTTCAGCATCTGTCAAAATAATTATAGGTTATTTGTCCTTCATTCTGTTGATATGATGTATCACATTTATTGATTTGCATATATTGAACCATCCTTGCATCGCTGGGATGAATTCCACTTGATCATGGTGTATGATCTTTTTAATGTGTTGTTGAATTCAGCTTTCTAGTATTTTGTTGAAAAATTTTGCATCTATATTCATCAGATATATTGGCCTATAGTTTTCTTTTTTTTGTTGTGGCTTTATCTGATTTTGATATCAGGATAATCTGGCTCATAGAATGAATTTGGAAGCATTTCCTCCTCTTTGACTTTTCTTGGAATAGTTTGAGTAGAATTGGTATTAGTTCTTTATTTTTATTTTTATTTTATTATTATTATACTTTAAGTTTTAGGGTACATGTGCACAATGTGCAGGTTAGTTACTTATGTATACATGTGCCATGCTGGTGTGCTGCACCCATTAACTCGTCATTTAGCATTAGGTATATCTCCGAATGCTCTCCCTCCCCCCTCCCCCAACCCCACAACAGCCCCCAGAGTGTGATGTTCCCCTTCCTGTGTCCATGTGTTCTCATTGTTCAATTCCCACCTATGAGTGAGAATATGTGGTGTTTGGTTTTTTGTTCTTGTGATAGTTTACTGAGAATGATGATTTCCAATTTCATCCATGTCCCTACAAAGGACATGAACTCATCATTTTTTATGGCTGCATAATATTCCATGGTGTATATGTGCCACATTTTCTTAATCCAGTCTATCATTGTTGGACATTTGGATTGGTTCCAAGTCTTTGCTATTGTGAATAGTGCCGCAATAAACATACATGTGCATGTGTCTTTATAGCAGGATGATTTATAATCTTTGGGTATATATCCAGTAATGGGATGGCTGGGTCAAATGGTATTTCTAGTTCTAGATCCCTGAGGAATCGCCACACTGACTTCCACAATGGTTGAACTAGTTTACAGTCCCACCAACAGTGTAAAAGTGTTCCTATTTCTCCACATCCTCTCCAGCACCTGTCGTTTCCTGACTTTTTAATGATCGCCATTCTAACTGGTGTGAGATGGTATCTCATTGTGGTTTTGATTTGCATTTCTCTGATGGCCAGTGATGATGAACATTTTTTCATGTGTCTGTTGGCTGCATGAATGTCTTCTTTTGAAAAGTGTCTATTCATATCCTTTGCCCACTTTTTGATGGGGTTGTTTGTTTTTTTCTTGTAAATTTGTTTGAGTTCGTTGTACATTCTGGATATTAGCCCTTTGTCAGATGAGTGGGTTGCAAAAATTTTCTCCCATTTTGTGGGTTGCCTGTTCACTCTGATGGTAGTTTCTTTTGCTGTGCAGAAGCTCTTTAGTTTAATTAGATCCCATTTGTCAATTTTGGCTTTTGTTGCCATTGCTTTTGGTGTTTTAGACATGAAGTCCTTGCCCATGCCTATGTCCTGAATGGTAATGCCTAGGTTTCCCTTTGAAAACTGGCACAAGACAGGGATGCCCTCTCTCACCACTCCTATTCAACATAGTGTTGGAAGTTCTGGCCAGGGCAATTAGGCAGGAGAAGGAAATAAAGGGTATTCAATTAGGAAAAGAGGAAGTCAAATTGTCCCTGTTTGCAGATGACATGATTGTATATCTAGAAAACCCATTGTGTCAGCCCAAAATCTCCTTAAGCTGATAAGCAACTTCAGCAAAGTCTCAGGATACAAAATCAATATACAAAAATCACAAGCATTCTTATACACCAACAACAGACAAACAGAGAGCCAAATCACGAGTGAACTCCCATTCACAATTGCTTCAAAGAGAATAAAATACCTAGGAATCCAACTTACAAGGGACGTGAAGGACTCTTCAAGGAGAACTACAAACCACTGCTCAATGAAATAAAAGAGGATACAAACAAATGGAAGAACATTCCATGCTCATGGGTAGGAAGAATCAATATCATGAAAATGGCCATACTGCCCAAGGTAATTTATAGATTCAATGCCATCCCCATCAAGCTACCAATGACTTTCTTCACAGAATTGGAAAAAACTACTTTAAAGTTCATATGGAAACAAAAAAGAGCCCGCATCACCAAGTCAATCCTAAGCCAAAAGAACAAAGCTGGAGACATCACACTACCTGACTTCAAACTATACTACAAGGCTACAGTAACCAAAACAGCATGGTACTGTTACCAAAACAGAGATATAGATCAATGGAACAGAACACACCCCTCAGAAATAATGCCACATATCTACAACTATCTGATCTTTGACAAACCTGACAAAAACAAGCAAGGGGGAAAGGATTCCCTATTTAATAAATGGTGCTGGGAAGACTGGCTAGCCATATGTAGAAAGCTGAAACTGGATCCCTTCCTTACACCTTATACGAAAATTAATTCAAGATGGATTAAAGACTTAAATGGTATTAGTTCTTTAAATATTTGGTAAAATTCAGCAGTGAAGTCAGCAGGTCCTGGGCTTTTTTTTAATTGGAAGACTTTATTACTGCCTCTAGCTCATTACTTGTGAGAAAATTGTGCAAGACAAGTGCAAATAAAAACATATAGGATACTGCAACAGCAGTACTAAGAAGGAAGCTAATTGCAATATCCACCTACATTAAAAAAAGAAGAAAGATCTCAAGTAAGCAGTTTAACTTCATATCTCATAATATAACTGGAAAAAGAACAAACTAAGCCCAAAGTTAGCAGAAAGAACAAAATATCAGAGTACAGCAAAAGCAAAATAGAAAATACAGAATACATAGAAAAATCAATGAAACTAAGAGTTTGTTTTTTGAAAATATATTGATAAACTTTATGTAGCTTCTTTAAAAAATTAGAAAAAATTAAAATAAAGAAAATCAGAACTAAAGAAGAGTTACTATAACCAATCCCAAAGAAATATAAAGAATCATAACAGACTACTATGAATAATTATATGACAACAAATTGGATAGCTTAGCATAAATGAATACATACATACAACCTGTCAAGACTAAATAATGAAGAAATATAAAGTCTGAACAGAACAATAACTAATATAAAGATTGAATCAATAATCAAAAAACTCCCAAGAAAGAAATTGCAGGAGCAGATAGCATCATTGGTGAATTCTACCAAACATTTAAAGAAGAATAAATGCCAATTCTTCTGAAACTGTTTCAAAAATTTGAAATGAAGATAATATTTCCAAATTCATTTTATTAGATCAATATTATCCAGATATCAAAGCCAAAGATGTCACAACAAAAGAAAATTACAGGCCATTATATGTAATAAATATAGATGCAAAAATCCTCAACAAAATCTTAGAAAATCAAATGCAACAGAAAATTAAAACAATCATACACGATAATCAAGTAGAATTTATCCCTGGGAGGTAAATATGTTTCCAGCAAATTTGACGGTTCCCCAAACAGATGCCGAAAAAAATTAATGTGATGCACTATATTAATAGAATAAATGATAAAAATCACATGATCATTTCAATAGATTCAGAAAAGAATATTTGACAAAATTCAACATCCATTTATGAGAAAAACTTTGAACAAACTATAAATAGAAGAAAATTACCTCAACATAGAAAAAGGTTATATCTGAAAAGCTCACAGTTAACATCATATTAAATTGTGAAAAACTAAAAGCTTTTCCTCTGTGATTGGGAACCAAGCAAAGATACCATTTTTACTATTTGTGTTTCACATAGTACTAGAAGTTCTAGCACAACAATTATGCTAGAAAAGAGAACGAAAAAACATCAAAATTAGAAAAGAAAGAAGTAATATTGTCTCTGATTACAGATAACATAGTCTTATGACTATAAACTCCTTAAGACCTCATAAAAAAACTGTTAGAAATAATAAAATGCTCCGTAAGATTGCAGGATACAAAATCAACATGCAAACATCAATTGCACTTCTATACACTAACAATAAACTATCTGAAAAGGAAATTAGAAAACAATTTTACTTATAATAGTACCGAAAGCAACAAAAGACCTAGAAATAAGCTTAATTAAGGAGATGAAAGATGTGAATATTAAAAACTAAAAAACACTGATAAAAGAAAATGAACAAGGTATAAACAAATGAGAAGACATTCTGTGTTCCTGAATTGGAAGACTTTATTTTGTCAATTTTTTTATACTACCAAAGGCAATCTACAAATTCAATGAAATCCCTATCAATATGTCAATGGCAAACATTTTAAAAATGAAAAAAGATTCTAAAATATATGCAGAACCGCAAAAGACCAGAAATAGCCAAATCAATCTTGAGAAAGAACAAATGGAGACTCACACATTTTTTATTTTGAAATATATTACTCTTTTGACTTAGAGCCTTTAAGTTAGGGAGTATCCCCTCAATGATTAGGAGAGATACAAAATTGAAGTAAAAATTGTATTACTTACAGTTCTTGGGGAAATACATGGCATGCCTAGAGGGCACATCCATGCAGAGGTCAGGGAGCACATTGACAGAAGGAAAGAAGAATCACAAGCCAGTGTCTTTGTTGTGATCCAGGGCATTATGTAATCTGATTTGTCATGGGGAGTTTTAATAGGTGGACTTAAAGCAAGCAGGCACAAGTTCTCATATGTCACACTGTGACTGAGAGATGGTTGCTGTGGCATATCTGCACAGTCCACGCAAGGTGTGGGAGTTAGCAGTGCAGGTCAAGTAGGTTGTATGTAGCTGTCTCAAAGCAAAGTGTTCATCAGGAGACAGTTGTATAAAGCAGATATCTGGATCAACCATACTGAGGAAATGGGGGAAAATGTAGAACTAGAAACTGTGTCAAAGGTTATTACACCCTGCTTCTGGCATGAGAGAGTTAAATTTACTTTCAGAGTGAATGCTGAAGCATAAGACTATAAAAATTCACTACAGTTACAAAGTTATAGTAAACAAAACAGTATGGTCCTTACATAAAAATAGGCACATAGACCAATGAACAGAATAGAAAACCCAGAAGTAAATTCATGCATATATGATCAACTAATCTTCTACAATAATGTGAAAAATACAAATTGGGGAAAGAATAGTCTCATCAATAAATAGTGCTGAAAAAAACAGATATACACCTGCAAAAATATAAAGAAAAGAAAAACTCTTATTTTACACCAAACATTAAAATCAACTCAGAAAAGATTAAAGACTTTAATGTAATGCCTGAAACTATAAAATTCCTAGAAGAAAATGGTGAACTAGCCTAATGACCTTGGTCTTGGGAATACTTTTATGAGCATAATATGAAAAGTATGGACAACAAAACCAAAAGTAAACTAATGGGATTACATCAAACTAGAAATTCTACACAGGAAAAGAAGCAATAAACAGAGTGAAAAGGCAACTTACAGAATGAGAAAAAAATTGCAAACCATAAATTTATTGTGCAGTTAATATCTAAAAATTACAATATACTGCTATAACTCAATAGCAAAAAAAAAAAACTAAGAACACAATAAAAAAAAGACTAATGATTTTAATAGAAATTTCTCCAAAGAAGATATATTGATAGCCACAAGATATATAATAAAATAATCAACTCAAGAATTATTGGAGAAATTCAAGTCAGAACCACAATGAGATATTACTTCATACCTATAAGAATGTCTATTATTAAAAAAAAAGCGTTGACAAGGATGTGAAGAAATTGAAACCCTTGTGTTCTGTAGGTGGGAATGCAAAATGGTACAGTTACTATGGAGAACAGTGTGGAGGTTTCTCAAAAAAATAAAAAATAGAACAACCATATGATTCTGCAGTCTAACTTTTGTGTATTTAAGATTGAAGTCAGAATCTTAGTGAAATATTAATACACCAATGTCACTGCACTACTATTCACAATAGCCAAGTTATGACAACACCTTAAATGTTCATCAACAGATGAATGTATAAGAAAAAGGAATGTAAAAGAATGTACACATACAATGGAATACATTTCAGCCTTAAAAGGAAGGAAATTGGAATATGCAATAGCATGAAGGAACTGTGAGGACATTATTCTAAGTGAAATAAACCTGTCACAGAAAGACAAATACTGCATGATTCCATTTATATAATGAATGTAAAATAGTGAAACTTAAAGATTCAAAGAGTGGAATCATGATTGACAGGCTGTGGGGAAGAGAAAACGAGGAGTTATTAATCAATGGGCATTAAGTTTCAGTCAAGCAAGAAAAATAAGCTTCCCTAAAGATTTGCTGTACAACATTGTTCCTATAGTGAACAATAACAAATTATATTTTTAAAAAATCGTTAAGAGGTGGGATCTCATGTTAAGTGTTCATACCACAATAAAGTAACATAAAAGAAAATAGAAAACAAGGTAGGTCAGTGTGATGAGAAAGTGGAGCAGCAGGAACCTCATGCACTTCTCTTCAAAGTTTAAGTTGGTAAAACCGCTTTGAAAAAAGAAATTATCGCTATAGACTACACCTAAAAATAACAATATTCCATAACACAGTAATTCCATTTCTAAGTATATACACAACATTAATGAGTACACATGTGCACCAAGAGAAAAGTAAAGGAATATTTTTATCAACAACATTTGTAGTTACCAAAAAGTGGAGGGAAAAAACCCTGCATATCTGTCATTAGTAAAATTTATGAAGAGTGAGGTATTTGTACAATGGTGTAGTATAGAGCAATGAAAATGAGTAAACTGCAGATACAGACCACAAAGTTATTTTGAAGAAAAGCAGCAATATAACAAAGGATACATTTTATATGGCCCCAATTTTGTGATTTTCAGATGTAGACCAAAGTGAAATATATTGTTTAGGGACATATTGGATAAGAAGTCTGTAAAGAAAGGTGTAAAGAATAGCAGTTACTATTTGTGAAAATTAAGTTTTATGATTGAGGAAAGGTTTAAAAGGCAGGCACCTGGAGTTCTAACAATGCTGTTTCCTGAAATTTTGCTTACAGAACTGTTTTCATTCTCATAGTTTTCTCAGCTATATATTTATAGGTTTTCCATCTTTTATATGAATGATTATTCATAATTTTAGAAACAGCATACAAGATTATAAATAACCCCCTATCGAAGAAGTGGAATAATGGATTTTTAAAACAAACGGCTAAGAAAACACTGCCTATCAAAACTTTAGGATTCTGGTAAAGCTGTATATCATTGGGAATGCAGAGCAATAATACTTATATTGGGGCAATATCTTCTCAACTTGATAAAGAAAACCTACAAAAAACTTATAAGTAACATTATATTGAAAGGTGAGAGACTAGAATCTTTTCTGCTAAGATGAGAAACAAGGCAATGATGTCATCACCTCTAATCACTGCTTTTCAACATTATATTAGATCTTAGCTAACACTAAGACCAGAAAAAGAAATAAAAGGTATACAGAATGAGAAGAAAGAAATAAAACTGCCTTTGTTTGCAGATGACATGCTCAACAATGTAGAAAATCTTTAAGAATTTACAAAAAAAAAAATTGGAACTAATGAATGGTTATAGCAATGTTGTGGCATACAAGGTTAATAATACACAAAAGTCAATAACTTTTCTATATAAAAGCAATGGACAAGTAGAATTACAAATTTAAAGCAGAATACCATTTATATTACCATTCATAGAAATGAAATGCCTTGATATAAATCTAACAAAATGGGTACAAAATATATATGAGGAAAACACAACTCTGATGAAAGGAATCAAGAAGGACTAAGTTAAGAAGAGAGATATTTCATGGCCGTGGGTAGGAAGGCCAAATATTTTCCAATGTCAGTTCTTGCCAAATTTATCTGTAGATTCAATGCAATCGCAATTTAAATTCCAGCAAGTTATTTTGTGGATATTGACAAATTTATTCTAAAATTTATTGAGAGGCAAAATATCCAAAATAGCCAACACAATATTGAAGGAAAAGAACAAAGTTGTAGTATTGACACTACTCAACCTTAAGACTTACTATGAAGCTGAAGGCATCATACTCCCTGATATTAAAATGTATTATAGAGCTATATAACGAAAACAACATGGCACAGGCATAAAAATAGACACATGGACCAATGGAACAGGATAGAAAGCCACAAAACACATTTAAGTATTTATAGTCAATTTATTTTTGACAAAGATGCCAAGAACACACATAGGAAAAGGTCATTCTCTTCAATAAGTGGTGTTAGGAAAATTGAATATTCATATGCAAAAATAATTGTATCCTTATTTCACACCATGCACAAAAATCAGTTCAAAATAAATTAAAGACTTAAATGTAAGACCTGAAAATGTAAAATTTCTAGAAGAAAAACTTGAGGAAAATCTCCACCACATTGTACTGGGCAATAATTTCTTAGAACTTTGAAAGCACATGCAACAAAAGTGAAAAAGAGACAAATGGGATTACGTCAATCTAAGAAGTTTCTGCACAGCAGTGAAAACAACAGAGCGAAGAAACAGCCCATGGAATATTGTTGAACCTTGCACAACACAGGTCTGAACTGAACAGGTCCACTTATACTCAGATTTTTTTTTTTTTTTTTTGCCTCGGCCACTCCTGAGACAGCAAGACCAAGGCCTCCACTTCCTCCTCCTCCTCAGCCTATTCAACATGAAGACAAGGAGTATAAAGATCTTTACGATTCATCCCACTTAATTAATAATAAGCTTATTTTCTCTTCCTTATGATTTTCTTAATAATGTATTTTTTCTTCAGCTTACTTTATTGTAAAAATACAGTTAATACATATACAATATATTTGATAATGAGCTATTTAGATTATCGTTAAGTCTTCTAGTCAACAGTAGGCAATTAGTAGTTAAATTTTGGGGAAGTCAAATGCATAGAAGCATTTTCTACTAAGCAGAAGTTTGGTACCCCTCACCCTCATGTTGTTTAAGGGTTATCTGGATGTGCAAATCATACATCCAATAAGGGGTTAATATCCCAAATATATAAGGAACTCAAACAACTCAATAAAAAGAAAACAAATAACCCAAATTAAAAATAAATGGCAGAGGACCTGACAATTTTAAAAAAGAGACATACAAATGGCCAACAGATGTGTGAAAAAAAAAAGATCAACATCTCTAATCATCAAAGAAATATAAATTAAAACCACAAAAATATATCACCTTACATTTGTTAGTATGGCTATTATCTAAAAGACAAATAATATCAAGTTTTGGTAAGGATATAGAGAAAAAGGACCCCTGGTACACTGTTGATGGGAATATAAATTAGTACAGCCATTTTGGAAAATAATATGGAGAATCTTCAAAAACTAAAACTGTAATTGCCATAAGACTCAGCAATCCAACTTCTGCATTTGTATCCAAAGGAAATTTAATTGGTACATGGAGGAGATATCTGCACTCCAATGTTTATTTCAGCACTATTATTCCCAAAAGCCAAGATAGGGACAACCTGTGTACATCAATGGATGAATGTGTAAATAAAATGTGCTATATACACATTATAGATATACTATACAACTTTTAAAAATAAGGAAAGTCTGTCATTTACAACATAGATGGACCTGAAGAACCTTCTTTGAAGAGAAATGTCAGGCACAGAATGCTGTATGATCTCATTTATATGTGGAATCTAAAAAAAAATCAATCTCATAGAAACAGAGAGAAGAAAGTTGGTTATGAAAGGGTAGGGCAGGATACCAAGAGGGATGAAGAAAAGGAGACTGTAGATTCAAAGGTACAAATGTAATTGTAAATTATCTTATTAACATTATCTTATACATCTGTAAATTCTTTTGTCCCATCTCTTAATTGAAAGGGAAAAAAATAGTTTTAGTTTTATCCATTATCTGAAAAGCATTAATCTTTCTGAGTCACCTGTTGTAGACAGATGGCAGACCTAACTCTACATTAGCATGCATTAATTTGTTTATCTTTTTTCCATTTTCTAGAAGAAAATAAGAAAAACAATTATAAGCAAGAATGAAGTTTATTGTATTGCTACTATATAAATAAGCCAGGAGTCTCTAACATAGTGTTTGTGGAAAAACAAAAAATCCATCCACATTTTTGTTTGCATGAGATTCTTTTAAATTAAATGTTATAGTTGCGAAGAACCTCAATATAAAATATACTAATTATACCAAACATATGTCTTTGAAAGGATTCAATGCTTATTGCTTTCTAAGTTGAAGTTAATATGTGATTTAGGGGACTAGGAGGCTTAATTCATGAGGTCATTCAGGTACTCAGATTTATTTCTTTTGATTTTGTCCTTGTTTTCTCAGTTCAAGTTTTGTAGAATACAACCCCCTTCAAGTTACAGTCCACGTGAAGTTGGAGAGGCATTCATTTAGAGCAATCAGGTTCCTTTACGATTTTTACTCTGAAATTGCACACTCACTTTCTCATTAGGTCAAATTTAGTCATTTGGTCATAACTAGTTGCAAAACAGACTGGAACTGTACATGGTCTCTAGCTGTGCTATGTATAAGTTAAAATACAAGGTATTCTATCATTAAAATCATAAAAACAAAATTTCAGACAATAAACAATTCTTCTCAATGTGAATTTATGATGCTAAACATAATCTGACTTTTTCTTTATCTCTTTGTTGTCAATGTGTAAGGAACTTGAGGACATTATTTTCTTCATATCCATTTGTTTTCATTATGTATTACTTAATTTTTTGTTTGAATTTCTTATACTTTTAGTTCCCAGAAAATTTTAAATACACACACACACACACACACACACACACACACACACACACACACAACGTATTACAAGTTTTCATAACATAAATTTTCAGTCCTGATTGTATTAGTCCATTCTTGCACTGCTAAAAAGAAATAGCTGAGACTGGGTAATTTATAAAGAAATGAGGTTTAATTGGTTCACTGTTCCTCAGGCTGTCCAGGAAGCATGCCTTGGGAGGCCTTAGGGAAATTACAATTATGGCAAAAGGTGAAGGGGAAACAGGAACATTTTACATGGTGGGAGCAGAAAGAAATGAGAGAATGGGGAAGTGCCACACACTTATAAACAACCAAAACTCACGAGCACTTATTCACTATCAGGAGAGCAGCACCAAGGAGGAAATCTGCCCCCATGATCCAATCACCTTCCACCAAGCCCCACCTCCAACATTGGGGATTACAATTTGACATGAAACTTGGGCAGGGACACAGACACAAATCATATTACTGATGAAACAGACTTTTAAGACCAAAGACCAGTTTCAGTAAAAAATAGTGAAATTCTGGCTGGGTGCGGTGGCTCACGCCTGTAATCCCAGCACTTTGGGAGGCCCAGGCGGGCAGATCAGATCACAAGGTCAGGAGATCGAGATCATCTGGTTAACACAGTGAAACCCCATCTCTACTAAAAATACAAAAAATTAGCCGGGCATGGTGGCAGGCGCCTGTAGTTCCAGCTACTCGGGAGGCTGAGGCAGGAGAATGGTGTGGACCCAGGAGGCGGAGCTTGCAGTGAGCCAAGATAGTGCCATTGCACTCCAGCCTGGGCGACAGAGCGAGACTCCGCCTCAAAAAAAAAAAAAAGTGAAATTCACTTTCATGCATCATTGTGTTATCCATCATCACAAAGGTGTGGGGTGGTGAAAGTTAACTGGCCTGCTGAAGGACTTCACGTGGTAGTAGGGTTAAGGAAAGAATGAGGGGAAGAACGGAGATGTAGTTCGAAAGATAGGTAAAGCCCAAAGGTTAAAGCCTCTGAATACCACCTTGTGCCTTCAAATTACCACCATACAGTTTAGAGATTAACAGTCTCCAACATATTTTATGGCATATACCTGTCAATCAAAGCTATTGAGCATATAACCTAAATACATTTATTTAATATATAATGTGTACTGTTCTGATATATTATATGCATTACAAAGCATATACTAAATATAACTTACAGAAGTAAAGAAAAAATAAATAGTACTTTAAATATTTTATATGACTGTTAAAAACTTGTTCTTCATTATACCTTTTCTTTTCATATTCTTGATGTTCAGTTTTTCAAATTATTACTGATAACATGAGAATCATAATTTAAGAAGTTGTATTTCAAGGCATGATTATATTCAGAGTGAAGTTCAGCATTCACATTAGTGGACATAAGTCTCTTTTTCATATAGTTTTCTTATTAATGGTGAAAACAAAAAATTCTTCTCCAGCAAGAGGAAATGGAAGCCAAAGGGTTGACTTTTTAAAATCCTGTATGTTTATCACTGCAAAACTGGTTTCATGCAGAGTACATCAAGAATATACAACTGTTGGCCTTCCAAGTCACTAACCTCTACCTGCTTAATGTAAGGAATTCCTGAGAGTCTCACTTTTTCGAATCTTGTTCCACAAACAACCAACTAATCCCAGAACGCCAAGATTTCTTAAAAGTTCCCAAGTATGGCCTACTATTTGCTTTGATGGAGACACTGTGTCCCAGTGCCCTTCTCCCTTTCTGGGCAAGAAACACAATCTACATCTTTATCTCTGATATTTAAGTGAGGGGTACCCTTCACTGGAAATTTCAAAAGTATTTAATTGAGGGTTACCATTCACTGGAAATTTCAAAAGTATTTGAAATTATTAGTACTCAGATCTAATTAAAAATTCCATTTTCTCTTTCTTTCCTCTTTTTACCATGTAATATGGATGGAAATTAGCTTATGTAACAAATGGAATTATTTGGCATGTTTAAATTACACAGCTACATTGTCTGTTTTTGCTTACATTATTGGTATTATTTTTATCTGTCAATAATGGAAGTTAATTTAATTAAAATATAAAAATAAAATCTACAAATCAAATAACTAGGTGTGAATAAATTTTGAGGGCACCACTATCAATTTTGCCCATTGTGAAACTCACTCTACTGTTAGTATAATTTAATTACCTAAATGCAGGATGTTTCAAATCAGTAAAGGAATACTGAAATCTGTATATTAAATATTATTATATCTTAGTATTTTTCTTATCTTTTGCTATCAAATAAATATGGATTAAAGTACTGACATTTTTGTCTATCCTTCAGTAAATGAATTAACAACTCATGATTTACATGTAAGCTTCTTCAGAAACCACTGCTCTAAGCAAAATATATGCATATTTATTAAATATTTGCATGAGATTCCATCTGATTGAATATTCTATCTATTAGAATCTCAGCATAAAATACAATAGTTATACCAAATCTCTGACTTTTTTTAAGACGGAGTCTTGCTCTATCACCCAGGCTGGAGTGCAGTGGCACAATCTGGGCTCACTGCAACCTCCACCTCCGGGGTTCAAGCGATTCTCCTGCCTCAGCCTCCCGAGTAGCTGGGACTACAGGCATATGCCACCACGCCTGGCTATTTTTTCTGTATTTTTAGTAGAGATGGGGTTTCACTGTGTTAGCCAGGATGGTCTTGATCTCCTGACCTCGTGATCCACCCTCCTCAGCCTCCCAAGGTGCTGGGATTACAGGCGTGAGCCACTGTGCCCTGCCCAAATCTCTGACTTGTAAAAGGTCGATGTACATTCTATCTCTAATAATCTAATTCTGTAACTTGTGTTAATCTCACGCAGCTTTTACCTTAAATCGGGAATATCAAATAAAAATGTTGTCTAAAACAAATTCTAAGATAATGAAAGCAAGTTATTGGTACTGATATTATATAGACTTAACACTGAATGTTATCTCATAAAGCAATACCTATTTACATTATGTGGTAGACTTAGTTTACTTTGCCTCGTGTAAGTGCTCAATAACACATGAGAAGGTAGCTTCCACAGTTATAAAACACAGAGACATAGAGTGCTCTCAAAGACTGATGAAATTTTTGATCCATGTATTTGCGGTGGCTAACTCCAGGAAGGACTGCTGATGCAATGAGTAGTTCTTAGCTAAGCTGCTGTTCCTTGGCTATATTAGCCTCTGATCAGCCATCACAAAAGAGCAATTTTAGTCACTTCTGTCCCCATGCATCTGTTCCAAGGGATGTCATGCACAGCAAATTAGAGACCTCAAATACCAATCTGGCACAGTTGTTTCGGTCACAAGCTTTCATTTTAAACAAGTAATTGAAAAGCAATCTTCACCTGGACAGAACAGGAATGAACTAAAATGTTCTGTACCATATTTGTTTATTTCCAGTGAGGATACTATTACCGCTTAGGTTATTTATCTTATGGTCTTTGCTTATGAAATAATTATATGTTACATTTTGCCTTTAACCTTTCCACTTAGGAAAAAAAATAAAGAAGAAATATAGCAGACTTTATCAAGATGCTTACAACAGTCTAAAATGTGGAAATAACTATGTATTCCTGCTTCAAAAAATATAAAGATAAGTAGGCATGCAAAGTCCTGTTTGATATTCTACTCACCATTAAATTAAAAATAATTCTTTCAAATTAGGAAGTTTCAGATTTAGTCTTGTTCACAGATTTTGTTTTTAACAATTACACGGAAATTTGGAAAGCATAGTGGTAAAAAAAATATAGACCAACTTTTTCTTTTTAATGTATGAAATTCTCAAGATTCATTTCTATACCAAGCACCACTTTAATATCATATCTTTTACTCTTTCAAACAGGCTATTGATTTTTCATGGTTTCATCTCTCAATCAAAGCCTAACATTGAAAACTTGTTTGTTGACTTGAGCCTTGATGTAAAATTTAGTTTAACTCTTTTTCTAGTAATATGTTTGTCAGTGGCATAGCAATTTTCCTGTCACCGAAACTAGTCGATCCCTAAATGCCTTATTCACCAGAGTATGAAATTTTTGTTTTCTTCATCTTGCTTGTTCAAGTCAACAAATGCCAATTTAAAATGCAAATAAACAAATACAACTGTCTCAAGCAAATGCATTACATTTCACATAGTTGTAATTGATTCCCTTCTGCTATGATAGTTCTTTCGAATTTTTGAAGCTAGGATTTAAAATATTTACAGGGAAAGAAACATCCCTCACCTGGTTTAAGTATTGGTTCTGTGTGTGCATCGCGGAGAGGCAAAAAACTCTGAGCTTATGTCCTAAAGAGATATGCATTTCTCTGTATTTTTATGCACCTAATGGAGGTATTAAAGTGATGCCTGAAATCTGGAAGGAGCAATTATTATCTATGACTTTTAAAAATATGGAATTCCCATCATATTAATTATAACTCAGTCCCTGCAACTCAAATGACATTGTTAACTAGGGGAAAGAGGAACTCAAGGTGAAACAAATCAAGTTCTGAAATAAGCTTAGTGGACCCGGATTTTATTAGTTTACCAAACTCCAGGAACCTCTCTACAAGCACGATTATTTTATTAAATGACACTTCATAAAATATAGGCATTTTGTTGGTATTTTCTAAAGTGTTTAAGTGAGTGCTTTATGGATTTTAAAATAATAGGTATTTTGTAAAGTGACAAATTTCATTTGAGACATAATTATTTTATTTATATTTTTATATTCAACTTATCCCTATCAAAACATGAAAATTGGCTGCTAAAAATTAGAGAAAATGATCTCTGCTCTCTCATTCAGTTTTAATTTTCTCAGTTTTGTATAATACGATGAAATTAAGCTTTTCTTACACCACAGCTGTTATCTTGCTTTGCCAAATAATCTTTTGATGCTGTAGATTCCCCCATTGAGAGTCTTCTTTCCTTTTTAATTTTATTCTTAGAATCTTAGTTATAGGAAAGAATTGTTCTTCATACTTGGAGTTCTAATAGTTGTTGTGTAGAGTGCTGCTAGCACATTTTTGATTGGACTACGAAAATTTAACAGTTGGCAACCCCACTCATGTCTAGCTAGAGGGAGCCATTAGGTTTAATGAGGTAGCCATCCTCACATACTTGAATTGGGTTGGCAATCAGGTTCCTGGTAATTAGATTAGTAGAATACTATGTAGTGTATTTCAACTTTGAAAAATGTCTTTTGGACAGATTAACACTGCCACATACTGATATTAATCCATAAACATATATTTAAATTGAGCATAGTCATCACTTTGCAAGTATTTCAAACTGATAGTGATCACTTTGAAAATATTTATTGGGCTGTATGTAATTCTTCTCTTTATATTGTGCTTTTATTATGTCATTGCATTGCAGATGAATCACTTCCAAATGTAGGATAGGTGAAAGCTGTTCAACTGAGAAGTTAAATTAATTTTGAAATGTAGATTTTTTTTTGCCTTTGCATCAAGATTCAAAAATCACTACTATGATTGTAGTTTAGGCTCACAAAATACATTTCCTGCAAATCTGTGTGGCAACATTTGACATCATGGAAAGTATATAAAACAATTTAACATTATTTTAGGTATAAAGAAATCAGTTATCATCAAAATGGCTTTTCCCCAGTATAAGTTTTTCATATAGGCATGATTTTGTTTGTAATTTTAGACTAACTTCCTTAAGAGATGTTATGAGTTACTCAGTAAAACTAAATCCAAAGCCATTAAATATTTGATAATATTGGTTGAGAGAGAATCTCTTCATTTTGAAAAATTTAAGTCTCATCTCTTATCTCAAAAAAAAAATACAATAAAATCAATCACTGCTACCCTGTAGAACTGTGTGGTAGGGCACATCAGCACATCACAGAACTGTTAATGTTTAATTCATGGAAGCAGATGAAATTTATATTATATACACTACTAGTTTAATAATATATTATAGATTTGATGTTCCTGATGATAAATTATAAAATTAATAGCTATGTAATTTCACAGGCTTTGTAACACTGTCTAAATAAACCTTGTTCTGCTTCCCACATTCTTTTTAATAACAATTGGTTGTAACACATCTTAGCAGATTCCACTTCAGATTCTACTGAATTGTGTTTTGTCACCTTCTTTAAAGCTAATATCCCCTGTAGTTATTTAGTGCTGATTACTGACAGGCTAATTTTTCAGTCTCTCATCAACTCTTACAACTGAGATGAATCAATAACCTTGTTGATTCATCTTGTTGAGTCATCAAGAGCCAAGAAAAAGCATTTAAAATTATTTTTTATTTTATTATTATTATTTTTGTAGAGGCAGGGTCTTGCTATGTTGTTGCCTAGGCTGGTCTTGAACTTCTGGCATCAACTAATCTTCATGCTTCAGACTCCCAAAGTCCTGCGATTACAGGTATAAGCCACCATAGCCAGCCTTTGCCTTCTTTTTTTTGCCTATTAACTGTCCTCCTAAAAAAGCTACTATTTTAAATAGTTTACTTTCTCTGAACTTATTTCTCCAGCTGCTACAACCAAAAACAATTTAATAATTCATCATTGATAAATGATTTTTTCTGCTTTGCTAATAAATAAGCTAATTAAAAACATATTGGTAGCAGTACTATATTTTTTAATTTTTATTTCAATGGCTTTAGGGGTACAAGGGGTTTTGCTTGCCTGAATACATTGTATAGTGGTGAAGTCTGAGATTTTAGTGCACCTATCATCTTAGTAGTGTACATTGTACCCAATAGGTAGTTTTATTGTTTATTTTTATAAGAAAATTGTTCTACATTTTCTAATTTTTTTAATAATTTCTTTCCTGTGAGTTTGGAATACTGTGAGTAGTGCTTAGTCTGGCAGTCTTTATGTATATTGTATTATTTTAGCATAGCTTACTATAGCTAAGTAATAAACACAACACTTTGCCATCTATTCACAAACAAAATAATCCACATTCCACTGTGACTTATGAAGGCAAGATCTGAAGCTCAAATTTTTCTTCTTTTTTTTTATTTTGACATGGTGAATGTACCTTGGCAATACAAAATAATTAAAATTATGTGTTACAGCAATATGCCTGACACTCTGAACATTGTCAAGTTACAATTACATCACTGAAGATTGTAATGACAAACAATAGCACCACATGGTCTTTGTCACAATTATTTAATCCTGTTGTAGCACAAAAGTGGCTATGTACAATAAGCAAATAAGCATTGCTGTATTCTGATAAAAGTTTATACGTGAACATTGACACTTTACCTTTATGTAATTTCTACATGTCACAAAATATTTTACTGTTTGATTTTTCTCAACAATCTAAAACAGTAAAAATAGTTCTCAGCTTGTGTATCACAAAATGAAATTGTATTTCTAGTATACAGTCACTAAATGGCTAAAATTTTTTAAAAAAAGGAAATATATATATGGCGTTGATAAGGATATGTAATAACTGTAACAGCTGCTTGTGGTGGTGTAAATTGTTGCAAATAATTTAGAAAACCATAACTATTAAATCGGAACGTATTCATAGACTATGTTTGAGAAATTCCTCTTCTAATAATATTGAGTGAGATTGTCAGAGCTGTGGTTTCCTCTAGAGTAATGAAGAGTGGAAAAGAGTACAAAGGAGAATTCTGAGAAGCCAATGGAAGCCATTGAAAGAAATGCACAAACATAATGTTTTCTTTTTTAAATTTACTACAAAAATGAAATTTTCTCATAGCAACTAATGAAATATAAGTGATGAAGAAGGTAATGTAGGAGATCTTTCAGTTGTCTAGTTTCATTAGCAAGTGGAGATGGGTAACAATCAATCAATTAACCCAGGAGAAGAATGGAAATATGCTCTCTTTTGAAAATGTTGTATTTGAATTTAAATGTTGAATTTGATTATGGAGCTTGTAGGTGCAAATGTCCAGAAGGCAATTTTATATGCTTTCAGGTATATATACTGGAATAGGTATAAACTAGAAACAATGCTATATGGGTCATCAACATAGAGTCTGTTTTCTGAAAGTTGATGAAATGATCCAGGAATAATATAATTGATGTGAAAACTAAGGGTTGAACTTTGTTGACAACAGAATTTAATGAGATATCGTGTATTTTGGTGAGAAAAAGTGATTTTGTTACTTGAGGTTAAAATAAATCTAAATGCTATAACATTTATAGTATACCAAAACAAAAATCTTTCAATTTAAATTTCCGTAAGAAAACAATCCAAATGCCCATCAATAACAGACTGGATAAAGAAAATGTGGCACATATACACCATGGAATACTATGCAGCCCTAAAAAAGGATGAGTTCATGTCCTTCGCAGGGACATGGATGAAGCTGGAAACCATCATTCTCAGCAAACTAACACAGGGACAGAAAACCGAACACCACACGTTCTCACTCATAAGTGGGAGTTGAACAATGAGAACACGTGGACACAGGGAGGTGAGCATCCACCAGGGCCTGTCAGTGGATGAGGGGCTAGAGGAGTGATAGCATTAAGAGAAATACCTAATTTAGATGATGGGTTGATGGATGTAGCAAACCACCATGGCATGTGTATACCTATGTAACAAACCTGCACGTTCTGCACATGTATCTCTGAAATTAAAGTATAATAGAAAAAAAGAAACCATTAATTTTAGTTCAAGATAGTTATTGTAAAGAATAAGATTTATAAAGGCTTTATTTAAAATAAGAGCAACTGCATTTGTTTCTTCTTAGTTTTTCTAAAACCAAGGTAATAATGAAAATGGTATTTATTAAAATGTGATTACATATACTTATTATATTATATGTGGGTACATGTTGATTTAAAAAAAGAAAATAAAGGAAACTGCTAACACTTAATTAACATTCTGTAGCAAAATAGAAATAGACATATAAGAGACACTCATGGAAGAATTGCCATAAGCCACCATGCAATAATAATGCAATTTGTAGGAGGACTAGGATGCTGTTCCTCAAAATTATCCTTTCTTCATTTACACAAAATTCTCCTATGTCTCAGGATCCAGTTAGAATAATCAATTATCAAATGTTCTAAAAAATTTACTTGACACCAAATTACTCACTATAATTACTCACCCTCGTATGCCCTCATGTAATATTTTAGTGTCAGTTTGGGCCAACCAGTTGTTATCAGGAAGTAATACCTGTGTAAATTAAGTTGTCTTCTAAAGAATTCATTGAATGTAAATCAATTCTGCATAAAATTTACAGAAAATCCCCCTTATTGAAGCAAAACAAGATATTTAAGGTAGGCAGAGCCAGTTTTGTTTTGTTTTGTTTTTCTCTCCCTAGAAATCCTTTCACCTTCAATGATACAGAAAAGCTATTTTCCAGGCTGTAAGAACTTTTTTTTTCATTTAAAAATGTGTTAGTTATAACTACTATTTTCTCCAATGTAATATGAAAAGCAGTGATTATTCCTAACATTCACTAAAAGATTTAAACCTATTAGCTATAAGATAGAGCCAATCTTAAGAGTGTTCCTAGTCAATAATACACATTTATATTTAAATATCAAGATGTAAAAATAATCTTACGGCCTGTGGTGCCAGTAAGGAGGTAAGAAGAACATAGACAAATATCAATATTATAGTTGTTTTCAACAGAAATATACAGTTTAAAAGACCATGACCAATTCACACAAATGGATCTTGCAAGATTCAGAAATATTTTAAAAATCAAGTTCATATTTCATTCAATTAAAAGTGTATACTGAGACAATGGCTCTTTTTTGTTAACTATCTGAGAAAATATTTATATAACCATTTACTGCTTTCCACATGAGATTGCTTAATGCCCTAAGGATTTAATCATATGAGGGACATTACTATACTTCAGTAAAAACATGCACACGCACATGCACACACATATACACACACACACTTTTTCCATTTCTTACACTGAAGGGGAAAGGAGCCAAAAGAAAAATGAAAAAAATCTTAAAATAAACTCAAAGACAGATATTTGAGGATTTCAAGTTTCGTTCATTCTCTATATACATTTATGTCAATCTTCTGAGCTTTAAAGTTTTTTCTAATATATGAAAGTAGTCATTGTTTTCTGAAACTTTAACCTTTTGAACATTTGTTAACTATTTCCTTCTCAGGTAAGAAGAGCAAGTTTGGAATTAGAATGCAATAATTTTAAAAGTTACCAATTTACAAATTTTTTTATTTATTTTTTCAAGTTTCAAAATTGAATCAGAATTTTTTTTTAATTTTTGTTTTTAGTTCTGGGGTACACGTGTAGGATGTGCAGGTTTGTTACATAGGTAAACATGTGCCATGGTGGTTTGCTGCACCTATCACCCTATCACCTAGATATTAAGCTCAGCATGAATTAGCTATTTTTCCCAATGTTCTCCCTCCCCCCACCCCACCCCCGGACAGGCCCCAGTGTGTGTTGTTCTCCTCTATGTGGCATGTGATCCCATCATTCAATTGTCACTTACAAGTGAGAACCTGTGGTGTTTAGTTTTCTGTTCCTGAGTTAGTTTGCTGAGGATAATGGCTTCCAGCTTCATCCATGTTCCTACAAAGGACATGATCTCATTTATTTTTATGGCTGCATATATTCCATGGTGGATATGTACCACATTTTCTTATCCAGTCTAGCATTGATGGGCATTTGGGTTGATTCCATGTCCTTGTTATTGTGAATAATGCTGTGATGAACATACATGTGCATATATCTTTGTAATAGAATGATTTATATTCCTTTGGGTATATACCCAGTAATGACATGGCTGGGTCAAATGGTATTTCAGCCTAGATCTTTGAGGAATTGCCACACCATCTTCAACAATGATTGAACTAATTTTTATTCCCACCAACAGTGTAAAAGCATTCCTATTTCTCCGCAACCTCACCAGCATCTGTTGTTTCTTGACTTTTTAATAATGGCCGTTCTGACTGGCATGAGATGACATCTCATCGTAGTTCTGATTTGAATTTCTCTAATGATCAGTGATGTTTAGCTTTTTATCATGTATTTACTGGCTGCATGAATGTCTTCTTTTGAGAAGTGTCTGTTCATGTACTTTGCCCATTTTTAATTTTTTTTTCTTGTAAATTTGTTTGAGGTCCCTGTAGATTCTGGATATGAGATCTTTGTCTGATGGATAGATTGCAAAAATTTTTCCCACTGTGTAGGTTGCTTATTCACTCTGATGGTAGTTTTTTTTGTTTTTTGTTTTTTGTTTTTTGTTTTTTGCTGTGCAGAAGCTCTTTTGTTTAATTAGATCCCATTTGTCAATTTTTGCTTTTGTTGCAGTTGCTTTTGGTGATTTCATTATGAAATTTTTGCCCGTTCCTATGTCCTGAATGGTATTGCCTAGATTTTCTTCTAAGCTTGTTATAGTTTTGGGTTTTACGTTTAAGTCTTTAATCCATCTTCAGTTAATTTTTGCATAAGGTGTGAGAAAGGAGTCCAGTTTCAGTTTTCCTCAAATAGATAGCCAGTTCTCCCAGCACCTTTTATTAAATAGGGAGTTCTTTCCCCATTACTTGTTTTTGTCAGGTTTGTTGAAAATCCAATGGTTGTAGATGTGTTTTATTCCTAAGTTTTCTATTTTGTTCCATTGGTCTATGTGTCTGTTTTTGTACCAGTACTATATAGTTTTGGTTATTGTAGCCTTATAATTTGAAGTCCAGTAGCATGTTGCCTCCAGCTTTGATCTTTTTGCTTAGGATTGTCTGGACTATATGGGCTTTTTTTTGGTTCCATATAAATTTAAAAAAATGCTTTTTCTAATTCTATGAAGAATGTCAACAGTAGTTTAATGAGAATATCCTGAATCTAAAAATTACTTTGGCCAGTATGGCCATTTTCATGATACTGATTCTTCCTATCCATGAGCATGGAATGTTTTTCCGTTTGTTTGTGTCCTGTCTGGTTTTCTTGAGCAGTGGTTTGTAGTTTTCCTTGAAGAGGTTCTTGACTTCTCTTGTTAGCTGTATTCCTAGGTATTTTATTCTCTCTGTAGCAATTGTGAATGGGAGTTCATTCATGATTTGGCTCTCTGCTTGCCTGTTGTTGTAGGAATGCTTGTGAACTCTGCACATTGATTTTGTATACTGAAACTTTGCTGAGTTGCTTATAAGCTTAAGAAGCTTTTGGGCTGAGATGATGGGGTTTTCTAGAAATAGGATTATGTCATCTGCAAAGAAAGAGAACTGAACTTCCTCCCTCCCTATTTGAATACTCTTTATTTCTTTCTCTTGCCTAACTGCCCTGGCCAGAACTTCCAATACTGTGTTGAATAGGAGTGGTGAAAGAGGGCATCCTTGTCTTGCACTGGTTTTCAAGGGGAATGCTTCCTGCTTTTGCCCATTCAGTTTGATAGTGGCTGTGGGTTTGACCTAAATGGCTCTTACTATTTTGAGGTATGTTCCATCATTACCTAGTTTATTGAGAGTTTTTAACAGAAAGGGATGTTAAATTTTATTGAAGGCCTTTCCCATGTTTATTGAGAGAATCATGTGGTTTTTGTCTTTAGATACCTTTATGTGATGAATTACATTTATTGATTTGCATATGTTGAACCTGCCTTGCATCCAGGGAATGAAGCCAACTTGATTGTGGTAGATAAGCTTTTTGATGTGCTGCTGGATTTGATTTGCCAGTATTTTATTGAGAATTTTTGCATCAATGTTCACCAGGGATATTGGCCTGAAATTTTCTTTGTTTGTTGTATCTCTGCCAGGTTTTTGTATCAGGATGATGCTGGCTTCATAGGATGAGTTAGGGAGGAGTCCTTCCTTTTCAACTGTTTTGAATAGTTTCAGAAGAAATGATATCAGCTCCTCTTTGTATTTCTGGTAGAATTGAGTTATATTAAACCAAAAGCACTAGCTGTGCAATTAAAAGCCAACATTACAGCTGGTCACCTACTAATGCACTTAATTGGAGGGGCTACACTAATACTATCAACTGTTAATTTCCCATTCATCTGGTCCTGGGCTTTTATTGGTTGGTAAGCTATTTATTACTGCCTCAATTTCAGAACTTGATATTGGTCTGTTCAGGGATTCAACTTCTTTCTGGTTCAGTCTTGGGAGAGTGTATGTGTCCAGGAATTTATCCTTTCTTCTGGATTTTCTAGTTTATTTGCATAGAGCTATTTATAGTATTCTCTGATGGTTGTTTGTATATCTCTGGGGTCTGTGGTGATACACTTTCATTATTTTTTATTGTGTCTATTTGATTCTACTCTCCTTTCTTCTTCATTAATCTAGCCAAGGATCTATCTATTTTATTAATTCATTCAAAACACCACTTCCTGGATTAATTACTTTTTTGAAGGGTTTTTCGTGTCTCTATCTCTTTCAGTTCTGTTCTGATCTTGGTTATTTCTTGTCTTCTGCTACCTTTGGGGTTTGTTTGCTCTTGGTTCTGTAGTTCTTTTACTTGCAATGCTAGGGTGTCGATTTAAAATCTTTCTTTTTGATGTGGGCATTTATTGCCATGAATTTCCCCTTAACACTGCTTTCTCTGTGTCTGAGAGATTCTGGTACTTTATTAGTTTTTGGTTTTGAATAACTTTTTGATTTCTGCCTTAATTTCATTATTTACCCAGGAATCATTCAGGAGCATGTTATTCAATTTCCATGTAGTTGTGTGGTATTGAGTGAGTTTCTTAATCTTGAGTTCTAATTTGATTGTGCTGTGTTCTGAGAGACTATGATTTCAGTTCTTTTGCATTTGCTGAAGAGTGATTTACTTTCAATTATTTGATCAATTTTAGAGTAAGTGCCATATGATGCTGAGAAGAAGGTCTAGTCTGTTGTTTTCGGGTGAAAAGATCTGTAGATATCTATCAGGTCCACTTGATCCAGAGCTGAGTTCAAGTCCTGAATATCTTCGTTAATTTTCTGTTTTGTCTAATATTGACAATGGGGTGTTAAAGTCTCCCACTATTACTGTGTGGGAGTCCAAGTCTCTTTGTAAGTCCCTCAGAACTTGTTTTATGAATCTGGGTGCTTCTGTATTGGGTGCATATATATTTAGGATAGTTAGCTCTTCTTGTTGAATTGATCCCTTTACCAATATGTAGTGCCTTTCTTTGTCTTTTTCGATCTTTGTTAGTTTAAAGTCTATTTTGTCAGACACCAGAATTGCAACCTCTGCTTTTTTCTGTTTTCCATTTGCTTGGTAAAGTTTCCTCCATCCTTTTATTTTGAATCTATGTGTGTCTTTGCATGTGTGATGGGTCTCTTGAATACAGCACACTGATGGATTTTTGACTCCTTATCCAGCTTGCGACTCTGTGTCTTTTTAATTGGGGATACTTAGCCCATTTACATTTAAGGTTAATGTTGTTATGTGTGAATTTTATCCTGAGATCCTGATGCTAGTTGGTTATTTTGCAGACTTGTTTATGTATGTGCTTCACAGTGTCACTGGTCTGTGTACTTCAGTGTGTTTTTTGTAGTGGCTGGTAATGGTTTTTCTTTCCATATTTAGTGCTTCCTTCAGGAGCTCTTGCAAAGCAGGCCCGGTGGTGATAAATTCCCTCAGCATTTGCTTGTCTGAAAAAGATTTTATTTCTCCTTCATTTATGAAGCTTAGTTTGGCCCGATATGAAATTCTAGGCCAGAAATTATTTTCTTTAAGAATGTTAAATATTGGCCCCCAATCTCGTCTGCCTTGCAAAGTTTCTGCTGAGAGGTCTGCTGTTATTCTGATTAGCTTCCCTTTATAGGTGAGGTGGCCTTTCTTGCTGGCTGCCCTTAACATTTTTTTCTTCATTTTGACTTTGGAGAATCTGATGATTATGTGTCTTGGGGTTGATTTTCTCATGGAGTATTCTTCTGGGGTTGTCTGGATTTCCTAAATTTGAATGTTGGCCTGTCTTGCTAAGTCGGGGAAATTCTCCTGGATGATATACTGAAGTGTGTTTTCCAACTTGGTTCCATTCTCCCTGTCTTTTTCAGGAACTGCTATCAGTCACAAGTTCAGTCTTTTAAAATAATCCCATAGTTCTCAGAGATTTTGTTCATTCCTTTTCATTATTTTTTCTCTAATCTTATCTGCCTGCCTTATTTCAGCAAGATGGTTTTAAAGCTCTAATATCCTTTATCCTTCTTGGTCTTTTTGGCTATTGATACTTGTGTTTGCATTATGAAGTTCTCATGTTGTGTTTTTCAGCTCCATCAGATCATTTACGTTCCTCTCTAAACTGGTTATTACGTATAACAGCTCCTGTATTGTTTTATCATGGTTCTTAGTTTCTTTGAAGTGAGTTAGAACATAATCATTTAGCTCAGCGAAGTTTGTTATTTCCCATCTTATTAAGCCTGCTTCTGTCAATTCATCCACCTCAGCCTCAGCCCAGCTCTGTGCCCTTGCTGGAGATATGTTGTGATCTTTTGAAGAAGAGGCACTCTGGCTTTTTTAGTTTTCAGCACTTTTGTGTTGACTTTTTTTCTCATCTTCATGGGTTTACCTACTTTTGATCTTTGAGGATGTTGACCTTTGGATGGGGTTTTGTGGTGTCTTCTTCTTTGATGTTGTTGCTTGCTGATTGTTTTTCTTTTAGCAGTCAGGCCCCTCTTCTTTAGGTCAGCTGTGGGTTCCATGAGGTCCACTCCAGCTCCTATTCAACTTGTTTCCTCCCATCCCTGGAGATATCACCAGAGCAGGCTGCAAACCAGCAAATATGGCAACCTGATACTTCCTGTGGGAGCTCTGTCCCAGAGAGGCACTGGCCTGATGCCAGCCTGAATGCTCGTGTATGAGGTGTCTGGAGACAGGGAGCTGGCTGATCACCATGAGGCACGGTGTCATATCAAAGGCTCAGTGTTGGTCTCTGCTGCTGGAAAATTGAGCAGTCAGCAGTGGCTGTAGCCAGTCAGCCTTTGTGTGGTCCATGTTGCTGATCCCATCCATAACCTCCATCCCTGCCACCATGGCCACTTTGTTCATGGGCCCATTGGGCGATGACAGGGGTGTCTGGGGAAAGAGGCTGACAGGTGCCCACAGAATGGATCATCTTATCCACTTGATTATTAGAATACTCCTCTGCTGAGGTCACCCATTGGGGAGCACTCACATGGAACACAAATGTCTTCACAGTTTTTGACCACTCAGAGAGGTCCATCCACATACCTTTTCCTCAAATTTCTTTGTCACCAATTTTCCAATCACGCTTCTTCCAAGCCCCTGACCATCCAGCGAAACCTTTGGCTACATCCCATTAATCAGTATATAATCACACATCTGGCCATTTCTCCTTCCTTGCAAAGTGCACAACCAGGTGTACTGCTTGAAGTTCTGCCCACAAGGAAGATTTCCCTTCACTGCTGTCCTTGAGGAATGTTCTAGAAAAGGGCGGTAGTGCTGCAGTTGTCCAATTTTGGGTAGTGCCTGCATATCATGCAGAACCATCTGTGAAACAGGTCCTAGTCTTCTCTTTCTCTGCCAACTGGTCATAAGGAACTCCTCTTGAGGCACCAGTGCAGGCCGCGGGAGAGAAGGTAAGGCGGCAGAGGTGGTGACCATGGGCATTTGAGGCACTTCCTCATTTAACTTACTTGTGCCTTCAGAACCTGCTCGAGCCCCATCATGTATATACCACTTCCATTTGATGATGGAATGTTGCTGTGCGTGACCCACTTTATGGCTAGATGGGTTAGAAAGCACTGAGTTTATGAGGGGCTGTTCAGGTTACATGGTGACTTGATGACCCACAGTCAAACGTTCAGTTTCCACTGAAGCCCAATAACCAGCCAAGAGCTTTCTCTCCAAAGGACAGTAGTTATCTGCAGAAGATGGCAGGGCCTTGCTTCAAAATCGTAGAGGTTTCCACTGTGATTCACCTATGAGGACATTCCAGAGGCACCAAACTGGATTCCTATCTGCAACTGACACCTAAAGCATCATTAGAACTGATGGGTCATATGGCCCAAGTGGCAGAGCAGCTTGCACAGCAATCAACCTGTTGCAGAGCCTTCTCCTATTCTGGACCCCACTCAAAACTGGCAGCCTTTTAGGTCACTCAATAAATGGGCTGGAGTAACACACCCAAATGAGGAATGTGTTGTCTTCAAAATCTAAATAAGCACAATAGGCGTGCTTTCTTCTTGGTTGTAGGAGTGGCCAAATGCAGCAACTTCACCTTAGGAGGAATATCTTGACAGGCCCCACACCATTGGACCCCTAGAAATTTTACTGAGGTGGAAGGTCCCTGAATTTTACTTGGATATATTTCTCATTCTCTGGCACACAAATGTCTATACAATAACTCCAGTGAGTTTGCTACTTCTTGCTCACTGGATCAATCAGCAAAATGTCATGAATGTAATGAACCAGTGTGATATCCTGTGAAAGCAAAAAGTGATCTAGTTCTTTCTGAAAAAGATTATGACAGAGAGATAGTCAATATACATGTGAAGTAGGATAGTAAAGACAGTAAAGGTATTTTGGTGGCCTTGCCAGCTGAAGGCAAATTGCTTCTGGTGGGCCTTATGGACAGGAATGGAGAAAAAGGCATTTGCCAAGTCAATGGCTGCATACTGGGTTCCAGATGTGTTAATTTGCTCAAGCAATGAAACCACATCTGGTACAGCAGCTGTAATTGGAGTCACAACTTGGTTAAGCTTACAATAAACCACTTTCATTCTCCAAGATCCATCTGTCTTCTTCACAGGCCAAAAAGGAGAGTTGAACGGCAGTGTGATGGGAATCACCACCCCTGCATCTTTCAGGTCCTTGGTGTTGGTTCTAATCTCCACAATCCCACCAGGGATGCAGTATTGTTTTTGATTTATTATTTTTCTAGGTAGAGGCAGCTCAAATGGCTTCCCACCATAATAGCCCTCACCCTACTAGTCAGGGAGCCAGTGTGGGGGTTCTGCCAGCTGCTAAATATGTCTATGCCAATTATGCATTCTGGCACTGGGGAAATGACCACAGGGTGAGTCTGGGGACCCACTGGAGCCACTGTAAGTTGGACCTGAGCTAAAATTCCATTAATTACCTAACCTCCATAAGTTCCTATTTTAACTGGAGGACTACAGTGACATTTTGGGTTCCCTGCAATCAAATCAGCTCAGAGCCAGTGTCCAGTAGTCCCTGAAATGTCTGATCATTTCCCTTTCCTCGATGGACAGCTACCCTGGTAAAAAGCCAGAGGTCTTCCTGGGGAAGGATGGGAGAGAGATTAACAGCATAAATTGCCGGTAGTGTAGTGAAGTCATTCCTCAAGGGGACCTGGTGTCTCCTTCATTCAAGGGGTTCTGGGTCTGTAAACTGGCTCAAGTCTAGAAATTGACTGACGGGCCATGATTCTGTTTATGTAATTTAAATTAGTCTTTTGTCTATTTGACCTAGAAGTTTTCTGCTTATATAAATTAAGTAGGAATGCAGTAGGCTTCCTATCAATTTCACTTCTAGAAATACCTTGATTAATTAGCCAATGCCAGAGCTCTACATGGGTCAGACTATATTGATTGTTGCTTTTGTGTCTGCTGTCCATTATGGTAGCTACGGCCACCTTGCCTTTGACAGTTTTAAATCTCTTGCATTTTCTAAGTAAATCTAAAAAATACTAGTTTACTTTACTTATATGTTTATTATTTAAACTTATAATTACCCATGAAAACTAAATCATTTTGCATTTTGCAGATAGTTACCTGAGAAATTAATTTACCTATCCAAGTAAATTGCACAGCTGTTGGTATTCATAACTCTACCATTTGATACACTTAAAAATTATTCATTTTTGAAGAATAATTTCAAATTTGTCATTTATTTACCTATTGGATATATGTTAACATGTAAGTTTTGTATATACGTATTTATAAGGGAAGTATATTACAGAGTTCTTCAGCTATTATTTAAATTTATTTGCATGTTATATATAGAAGGTTTATTTTCTATGTAATCCATAGATGATTAACAATAACTTATACTTTATGTGCAAATTGGAAAACAGACAGGTTAAAAAATATGCCATCTTAAAAAATTTATTAAAATAAAAACAACAGAAAGGACACTATAAAAATTGAGCTTTTGGTGGTATTATACAACTAAGATTAAAGGAAGACACATGGCTGCTTTTATGAGATGAAAGTACGAGATGGGAAAAAAATAATACCATCTGCAAAATAAAAATAATCTGTGACATTAAAACTTTTTTCCAACTTTTATTTTAGGTTCAGGAGGTATATGTACATATTTGTTACATGGGAAAATTACATATCACAGGGATTTGGTGTCCGGATTATTTCATCATCCAGGTAGCAAGCATAGTACCTAGTAGATGATAGTTTTTCAATCCTCATCCTTTGTCCATCCTCTGCCCTCAAGTAGTGCCCAGTGTCTATTATTCCCTTCTTTGAGTCCACGTGTGCTAAATGTTTAGCTCCCAGTTATAAAGAGAATATGTGATATTTGGTTTTCTGTTCTTGCATTAATTTGCTTAAGATAATGGCCTCCAGCACCATCTGTGTTGCTCCAAAGGACATGATGTTGTTCTTTGTTATGGCTGCATAGTATTTTATGGTGCATATGTACCACATTTTCTTTATCCAGTCCACCGTTGATGGGCATCTGAGTTGATTCTGTGTCTTTGCTATTCTGCATAATGCATACTGGCCCACATCTATAATCCCAGAACTTTGGGAGGCCAAGGTGGGAGGATCACTTGAGGCCAGGAATTTGAGACGCTAAAATTTTTAAATCTACTTTAAATCTCCTTATTCTAGATCTGAAAATCATCATTTGCGGCCCTAGAAATACCTTTATTTGACAAATGGTAAAAACCATTGTAGAATAATTTTATTATAAATTCTGTAAATCAGGAAACATTTAACTCCTTGGGTTATCTGCAGTGCCCAGAAAAAGAAAGAGGAAGGGAGGGAAGGAGGCAGAGCAGGAAGGAAAGAGACAAAGGTAGGTGGGAAAGAGAAAGAGAGACACAGAGAGAGTAACAATGTGGAAGAGACAGTTTTAAATGAAATTTTACCCATAATTGTAACTTTACTTAATTATTTGTTAGTTTGTTGAATTGTTTTTATTTCTCCACTACTGAGAAGGAATGTAGACTGTAGAACAGGATAATAACTGTTATAAAAAATAAAGGTCCATATTTTTACCCATCTTAGTAGCATAGTATAAATGTGTTGAACTACTATCAAAATAATAATTTTAAAGTCCTAGAAAGAATAGTATAGAGAATGCATGATAGGATTTGATAGTGGAAGAAATTATAGAATGAACTGAGCCTAAATATCTTTATTATATAGAATGCACTTCAGATGGTTTTAACAAAGTTTGATTGGGTAGTTGGGTAGACAAAAGAAGACATTTCAGTTGACTAATATGGCATGGGCAAAAATCATTGACTGAAGTGATTGACAGAATGTTTACAGCACCAGAACTTTGGCTATGTAAATAAATTAGTAATATGCTGATCACAATTTCTAAGCAAGTTGATTCTGACACCCGGTTGTAGCATTTCTGCAGTGACACTCATTATCTAAAAGGTTTACTTTTCTAGAAACAGCTTTGAGATCCTGACTTTTTGTGGCTAAAGTTACATAAAATTGCTCTGAAAAAGTCTTAGTTTGATATCCTGTAAAAAATAAGCCTACATTCTCTAATCTCCAGTCTCTATATCTGGGGAACTAGGGTGTGCTCATCAATTTGACAAATAATAAACACTCTTTTTTATCTATTTTTTTATTATACTTTAAGTTCTAGGGTACATGTGCACAACGTGCAGGTTTTTTACATATGTATACATGTGCCATGTTGGTGTGCTGCACCCATTAACTCGTCATTTACATTACGTACATCTCCTACTGCTATCCCTCCCCCCTCCCCCCACCCCATGACAGACCCAGTGTGTGATGTTCCCTTTCCTGTGTCCTAGTGTTCTCATTGTTTAATTCCCACCTATGAGTGAGAACATGTGGTGTTTGGTTTTTTGTCCTTGTGATAGTTTGCTAAGAATGATGGTTTCCAGCTTCATCCATGTCCCTACAAAGGACATGAACTCATCCTTTTTTATGGCTGCATAGTATTCCATGGTGTATATGTGCCACATTTTCTTAATCCATTCTATCATTGTTGGACATTTGAGTTGGTTCCAAGTCTTTGCTATTGTGAATAGTGCCGCAATCAACATACGTGTGCATGTGTCTTTATAGCAGCATGATTTATAATCCATTGGGTATATACCTAGTAATGGGATGGCTGGGTCAAATGATATTTCTAGTTCGAGATCCTTGAGGAATCGCCACACTGTCTTCCACAATGGTTGAACTAGTTTACAGTCCCCCAACAGTGTAAAAGTGTTCCTATTTCTCCACATCCCCTCCAGCACCTGTTGTTTCCTGATGTTTTGATGATCACCATTCTAACTGGTGTGAGATGGTATCTCATTGTGGTTTTGATTTGCATTTCTCTGATGGCCAGTAATGATGAGCATTTTTTCATGTGTCTGTTGGCTGCATAAATGTCTTCTTTGAGAAGTGTCTGTTCATATCCTTTGCCCACTTTTTTATGGGGTTGTTTGTTTTTTTCTTGTAAGTTTGTTTGAGTTCTTCGTAGATTCTGGATATTAGCCCTTTGTCAGATGAGTAGATTGCAAAAATTTTCCCCCATTCTGTAGGTTGCCTGTTCACTCTGATGGTAGTTTCTTTTGCTGTGCAGAAGTTCTTTAGTTTAATTAGATCCCATTTGTCAATTTTGGCTTTTGTTGCCATTGCTTTTGGTGTTTTACATATGAAGTCCCTGCCCATGCCTATGTCCTGAATGGTAATGCCTAGGTTTTCTTCTAGGGTTTTTATGGTTTTAAGTCTAACATTTAAGTCTTTAATCCATCTTGAATTATTTTTTTATAAGGTGTAAGGAAGGGATCCAGTTTCAGCCTTCTACATATGGCTAGCCATTTTTTCCAGCACCGTTTATTAAATAGGGAATCCTTTCCCCATTTCTTGTTTTTGTCAGGTTTGTCAAAGATCAGATGGTTATAGATGTGTGGTATTATTTCTGAGGGCTCTGTTTTGTTCCATTGGTCTATATCTCTGTTTTGGTACTAGTATCATGCTGTTTTGGTTACTGTAGCCTTGTAGTATTGGTTGAAGTCAGGTAGCAGCATGATGCCTCCAGCTTTGTTCTTTTGGCTTAGGATTGTCTTGGCGATGTGGGCTCTTTTTTGGTTCCATATGAACTTTAAAGTAGTTTTTTCCAATTCTGTGAAGAAAGTCATTGGTAGCTTGATGGGGATGGCATTGAATCTATAAATTACCTTGGGCAGTATGGCCATTTTGACAATATTGATTATTCCTATCCATGAGCATGGAATGTTCTTCCATTTGTTTATATCCTCTTTTATTTCGTTGAGCAGTGGTTTGTAGTTCTTCTTGAAGAGGTCCTTCCATCCCTTGTAAGTTGGATTCCTAGGTATTTTATTCTCTTTGAAGCAATTGTGAATGGGAGTTCACTCATGATTTGGCTCTCTGTTTGTCTGTTATTGGTGTATAAGAATGCTTGTGATTTTTGCACATTGATTTTGTATCCTGAGACTTTGCTCAAGTTGCTTATCAGCTTAAGGAGATTTTGGGCTGAGATGATGGGTTTTTCTAAATACACAATCATGTCATCTGCAAACAGGGACAATTTGACTTCTTCTTTTCCTAATTGAATACGCTTTATTTCTTTCTCCTGCCTGATTGCCCTGGCCAGAACTTCCAACACTATGTCGAATAAGAGTGGTGAGAGAGGGCATCCCTGTCTTGTGCCAGTTTTCAAAGGGAATGCTTCCAGTTTTTGCCCATTCAGTATGATATTGGCTGTGGGTTTGTCATAAATAGCTCTTATTATTTTGAGATACGTCACATCAATACCTAATTTATTGAGAGTTTTTAGCATGAAAGTTGTTGAATTTTGTCAAAGGCCTTTTCTGCATCTATTGAGATAGTCATGTGGTTTTTGTCTTTGGTTCTGTTTATATGATGGATTATGTTTATTGATTTGCATATGTTGAACCAGCCTTGCACCCAGGGATGAAGCCTACTTGATCATGGTGGATAAGCTTCATGATGTGCTGCTGGATTTGGTTTGCCAGTATTTTATCGAGGAATTTTGCATCAATGTTCATCAGGGATATTGGTCTAAAATTCTGTTTTTTTGTTGTGTTTCTGCCAGCCTTTGGTATCAGGATGATGCTGGCCTCATAAAATGAGTTAGGGAGGATTCCCTCTTTTTCTGTTGATTGGAATAGTTGCAGAAGGAATGGTACCAGCTCCTCCTTGTACGTCTGGTAAAATTCGGCTGTGAATCCGTCTGGTCCTGAACTTTTTTTGGTTGGTAGGCTATTAATTATTGCCTCAATTTCAGAGCCTGTTATTGGTCTATTCAGGGATTCAACTTCTTCCTGCTTTAGTCTTCGGAGGGTGTATGTGTTGAGGAATTTATCCATTTCTTCTAGATTTTCTAGTTTATTTGCGTAGAGGTGTTTATAGTATTCCCTGATGGTAGTTTGTATTTCTGTGGGATCAATGATGACATCCCCTTCATCATTTTTTATTGGGTCTATCTGATTTTTCTCTCTTTTCTTCTTTATTAGTCTTGCTAGCGGTCTATAAATTTTGTTGATCTTTTCAAAAAACCAGCTCCTGGATTCACTGATTTTTTGAAGGGTTTTTTTGTGTCTCTATCTCCTTCAGTTCTGCTCTAATCTTAGTTATTTCTTGCCTTCTGCTAGCTTTTGAATGTGTTTGCTCTTACTTCTCTAGTTCTTTTAATTGTGATGTTAGGGTGTCAATTTTAGATCTTTCCTGCTTTCCCTTGTGGGCATTTAGTGCTATAAATTTCCCTCTACACACTGCTTTAAATATGTCCCAGAGATTCTGGTATGTTGTGTCTTTGTTCTCATTGGTTTCAAAGAACATCTTTATTTCTGCCTTCATTTCGTTATGTACCCAGTAGTCATTCAGGAACAAGTTGTTCAGTTTCCATGTAGTTGAGCAGTTTTGAGTGAATTTCTTAATCCTGAGTTCTAGTTTGATTGCACTGCGGTCTGAGAGATAGTTTGTTATAATTTCTGTTCTTTTACATTTGCTGAGGAGTGCTTTACTTCCAACTATGTGGTCCGTTTTGGAATAAGTGCAATGTGGTGCTGAGAAGAATATATATTCTGTTGATTTGAGGTGGCGAGTTCTGTAAATGTCTGTTAGGTCTGCTTGGTGCAGAGCTGAGTTCAATTCCTGGATATCCTTTTTAACTTTCTGTCTCATTGATCTGTCTAATGTTGACAGTGGGGTGTTAAAGTCTCCCATTATTATTGTGTGGGAGTCTAAGTCTCTCTGTAGGTCTCTAAGGACTTGCTTTATGAATCTGGGTGCTCCTGTATTGGGTGCATATATATTTAGGATAGTTAGCTCTTCTTGTTGAATTGAACACTTTATCATTATCTAATGGCCTTCTTTGTCTCTTTTGATCTTTGTTGGTTTAAAGTCTGTTTTATCAGAGACTAGGATTGCAACCCCTGCCTTTTTAATTCTCTATCTTTTTTCTGCTAAAAAGTAAATAAGTTATTTATTTTGTCTTGTGTTCTCTTGACCACATGCTTTTTTATTGCAGTTTACTTATTCTAAAGTTGTCTCTTAGGATTTGATTCATTCCCAAGATTATTTCTGAAATGACTTACTTGTTTATAAACCTTAAGTGAACTTTAATAAGTGAACATACTTTTATTATCAATTCTATAAAGCTTGGTAATATTTTACTAAGAGTTTTAGAATGTCTGTCTTTACAAGCAGTTTTATAACATCGATTTTTCTTAAGCAAATTATTTTATTGAAAAGGAAAATTTAAAAATAAATGTGCAATAGACACTATATGCAATTAAAATCGTTAGCAATGAAACAAAATGGTTTAGAACATAAGTTTATTTAAATCAGGCAAATCTGTATTTGAATTCTCGTTCTGTCAATGGTAACTGTGTAATTTTGGTCAATTCGTTAACTTCTCTGTGCCTAGGCTTTTTGCATCTGTAAAATGAGGTCATTAATACTTTTACCCTGGCTTGTGGACAAGGTTAAGCATTCCCTACAAGGCTGCTAAGTCGTATGCAAAATATCACAGTAGTCATACTTTTCTGTTTTCTAGAATATTTTATGTGATGAAAAATTTTCCATGACTATTCTAGAAGACTTAGAAATGTATCTATAACTGAATTGGGATTGGGGAAAAGTAAGTTCTTGATTAAATCCCCATATTAGCTTTTCATTTTAACTCTGCACTTCCAAAACATCTTGCAATTTATTTTCCTTTTGAACTGTAAACTCTATAGGTGTTAGAGGGGAGCAAGAGGGCAGAGGAACACAATTTAAGAGGTAAAAAAATGTTTCTTTCCCAACTTCAGAAATTTGTTCAAGGCTTATCAGGTTGTAAAAATCTGGAGAGTAAATAAATTATTTCAGATATGGCACTGTGAGATACAGTAGAATTCGAAGAGTTTGAGAGTCAGAGAGATCTGTGTTTATTCACTTTCTAGATGTATAACCTTTGGTAAGTGGCTTTATTTTTCTAAGCTTTAGTTTCTAAATCTAAAAAATGAAAAGCACCCTTCTCATGCAATATCTCTAACACCTGAAAGGCACTCAGTACTTGGTAATCTAAGTATTACCTTAAAGGACCTATTAAAACCAAAATTAGCAGAATTATGAAAGTGTGGGTACTGAGATTTCCTGTAATCTACATGTTTAGATGCCTCTATTGGTGAGATATTAATTCAACTAATGATGTGTATTTATTAGACAAATCCTAAAATGTTCTTAATTAATTATACTCATACCCAGTTATAACTCTCATTTTATTAAGATGATTTTAAGAAAATGTCAAGAAAAAATGTATTTGTGTGCATTATTTAAAAAAATTTGTTTAGAGTCTTATTTTAGTTATTTTAAGATATTATTTAATGGAATTTACATAAAGGCTATGTAGTCACATATTATTAAGTTTGTGAGTCTCTGTGCCTGTCTGTTTCTATGGACATATGTATGTATGTATGCATGTATTTACTTTTGCCTTTGTCTTCTTAGATATTCCTCTATCTGAGAATTTGACTATAACAAGTACTAACATTTACTCTTTTGTTTTTGCTAGCTATTCATGATACTCAGCAGCAATAGGCTGTATATGTATTCTTAACTGGATAAGCATATGTCTGCTTACTGTATGAGTATATATGTAAGAACCTTTAACCAATAAATAGCATACAAACTGGTTTCTGAACCAGATTTTGAACCATTTCAAATGACAAAAGTATTGAGTTCTACCTTAGAGCCAGTGACGCTTAGTAAAACCATTTGGTGACTTCCACATAAAGCTAAAAAAAAGCAAAAAGACAAAAAAAAAAGGACAAAAGCAGTTAAAATTCAAGTCTGCATAAGAGAAAGAAAACTAGTTTGAACACTTAGAGAACTGGGTTGAAATTCTGACTCTCATACTTACTAGCTATTCGACTTAGAACAAATTCATTAATTTTGCCCTAAGATCTTCATGTTTTATTAAAAGCAAATTAGTAATACCTGTCCTTGTCATTAAATGAGAGTTGTGATAAAATTGAAACAATGTCTGGAAAACTATGTTGTATAATAGAAAATACATTACAAACATGTGTCATTAAAATTATCTTAAATTTAAAAGTGAATATAATCATTTCACGGTATTCTGATTATTTATGTCTTTCATGCAGGTAACAGAGGGAAGACATCAAATTTAGTGCCTGTACTTTCATTCACAGAGCATAAAAATAGAAAAAACAGGGCTTGGAGTTTTAGGGGATAAGAAACAGTACATTTCATGACTCTCCAGAATTACAAGTAATGTGTCTCTGAAACCTAATAATGGATCCATCAGTTTTGAATTGTAATGCCTTGTCAGTTTGAAAGTAGAACAAAAGCCTATAAAGTGGAATTCATGCCCTTTGCTATTATTATTAGTTAAGAGGCAACCAGGAGTCCTGACTTCATGAATGACACTGATTATAATGTTTCAGTCCCCTGAAAATGTCACAGCATGCATGATTCATATTTGTGACTTTTATTTATTAATGCATGTTAAGACAGAATAACAGGAATGTAGCAATAAGTATGGATTATTCTAATAGAACATATAACTAACACAAAACAGAAGACTGACTTATGAAACAGATTAATAAGAAATTCTGTAGTGAAAATAACACAGAGTTGATTTTCTACCAGTCTAATTAAAATCCTGAATTCCTGAGAGATTCATATGAACTGGCACAGATAATACTGACTTTATATCTTCAACCAATTGGTTGAAATCATATTTCTAAAATATTCTTTATAGAATTCAAAGTGCTATCCTTCACCTTCCTCTTTTTGTTCAAAGATTTATTTCCATCTGTTATAGTAGACTTATATGGGAGATGATACATAAGAGTATAAATTTATGCCATTTCATTAGCTTAGCATTGATATTGATAGCTAACTCTTGCTGTCGTCACCTTTTTAGATAAAAATAGTTTTATTTTAAAAGTTTAATAGATAGTTTGTCCCATTTACCTTTTTAAAATGAGATGCAAACATGGTAGGATCTAGGTAGAAAATTAAGCAGCATAATTCTGAAGAAAACGTATTATAAGCACTATCTAGTTACTAATTAGACTCTAGCAGAATCCTCATCTGCAATGATTAATGTACTGTTAACCAAATTAAAAAATGAGTCATCCCGTGTGTGAAAGAGATTTGCTTAACATTGCAATTAATCTTTCCATCTATGGAAGAAAATTGTTTCCTTCAGATTTTACTTAGCTAACAAACATAGATGAATTATCCTAGTTGCAAGTCAAAATAATTTCAAGCTATAGCTTTCCTGTGTTTCAGTATTGATTAATTTGATCTACTATTTTCCTGATATGCTGGCTTCTGTGTGCTCTCTTACCATAGATAGCTGGAGCCTTATCATACATCACTAACATTAGCAGAAACATCTCATAAATAGTACTTCTTTAAAACAATTATATACAATTTTAAAAGCATATCAGTTTATTCTTAAAATGGCAAAAACAAAAAACAAAACAAAAAACCCTCAAAGCTAAAATGATATATATTTTTAACCTAAGACAAAGGCAATGAATGAATGAATGATAATGCTGAATATGAGAACAGTTGTGATCAATAAAACTGGAGTACTCACTCCTGCCAATATTACTTCACTCACTTTAGTTAGTTCATTATTTAATTATTATCATATGTTGTGACACTAATAATGACATTCTGGTAATACAAAGAGTCATTGAAACTATTTATGAAAGGAAACTCTCTATAATCATAATTAATAAGTGGTTTGTAAGAGATTCTTTCAACTGGATGATAGCATTTGCAATTATTAATAAGAAATACTCCTTCAAATGCTATCCCTTCCTGACACTGAGTATCATTCTGTGAATTGCTCTCTTTACGTGGAAAATTGATTTTAGGCAGAGATAGTATATTACTCTGAATCATGAAAGTTTTCAAAATGTGTTTAAAACACATTGCTTGAGTAGAAAATAATAACATAAATTAACAATATCTGGAATTGAAGAGATAATCTCTGGATTATACTATGGTCTCAGGTGTATTGATACAAATTGAGAACAATGGTTTCTCCTTTATAACATGATGAATAACTTTGTCCCTAAAATAATAATTTCTACTATAAGTGAGGTGATTTTTGTTAATAACATAATATTAGAAAGCTATAAACCTGGTTTATATTATTTTACCTATTCAAATTATTTTTCATGTCCATATTCACTGGATTCTCTTACATAATTTTATCTAATGAGAAGAGCATAATTTACTATGAAAATACATGTCTGAAGTGAAATAAGTCATGACAGATCTACAAGTTGAATTTAGTATTGCATGCTTATTTGGCATATAATTTGAGTAAATTTGTTGCTCCACTTACTTGTCCATTCACTTATTTGGTTCTTTAATTATCCATTCAGTATTTAATGGGTAATCACTTTATACTATGTACATTTAATCACTGAAATACAAACATAAAGACACAGAAGAACTTCATGTAGACTTCACTTTCTTTTTTTATTATTATATTTTAAGTTCTGGGGTACACATGAAGAATGTGCAGATTTGTTACATAGGTGTACACGTGCCACGGTGGTTTGCTGCACCCATCAACCTGTCATCTACATTAGGTGCTTCTCCTAATGTTATCCCTCCCCTAGCCCCCACCACCCGACAAGCCCCAGTGTGTGATGTTCCCGTCCCTGTGTCCATATGTTCTCATGAACTCATCCTTTTTTATGGCTGCATAGTATTCCATGGTATATATTTGCCACATTTTCTTTATCTAGTCTATCATCGATGGGCATTTGGGTGGGTTCCAAGTCTTTGCTATTGTGAACAGTGCCGCAATAAACATATGTGTGCCTGTATCTTTGTAGTAGAATGATTTATAATCCTTTGGGTATATTATACCCAGTAATAGGATTGCTGGGTCAAATGGTATTTCTAGTTCTAGATCCTTGAGGAATCCCCACACTGTCTTCCACAATGGTTGAACTAATTTACACTCCAATCAACAGTGTAAAAGCATTCCTATTTCTCCACATCCTCTCCAGCATCTGTTATTTCCTGACTTTTAATGATTGCCATTCTAACTAGTGTGAGATGGCATCTCATTGTCGTTTTGATTTGCCTTTCTCTGATGACCAGTGATGATGAGCTTTTTTTCATGTTTGTTGGCTGCATAGATGTCTTCTTTTGAGAATTGTCTGTTCATATCCTTTGCCTGCTTTTTGATGGTTTTTTTTTTTTTTGTAAATTTGTTTAAGTTCTTTGTAGATTCTGGATATTAGCCCTTTGTCAGATGGATAGATTGCAAAAATTTCCTCCTGTTCTGTAGGTTGCCTGTTCACTCTGATGCTAGTTTCTTTTGCTGTTCAGAAGCTCTTTAGTTTAATCAGATCCCATTTGTCTATTTTGGCTTTTGTTGCCACTGCTTTTGGTGTTTTAGTCGTGAAGTCTTTGCCCATGCCTGTGTCCTCGATGTTATTGCCTAGGTTTTCTTCTAGGGTTTTTATGGACTTCACTTTCTAGCTAAGCATAATATGATGGTTAATTTTATGTGTCAAATTCATTGGGCCAGGGGTGCCCAGACACTTGGTCAAACATTATTCTGGGTGTTTCTGTGAGGGTGTTTTTGATGAGATTAACATTTAAATTGATAGTTGAGTAAAGTAGATTGCCCTCCCTAATGTGGGTGGGTCTTTAGCCAATCAGTTGAAGGCCTGAATAAAACTAAAGCCTGACTCTCTCCCAAGTAAGAAAGGATTCTTTTTGACTAATGGCCTTCACACTAGAATAACAATAGGAGTTGGGCAATTGTCTACGTATTTTGGTAACTCTCTCTACAGTTTACATTTTACTAGTCCCCATTGAATAAATATTGCCTTTCCAATAGAGGATCTTCCCTACAATTAAAACTCTTTACTCAAAAAAAATCATTTTCTTCCTTATTGCTAAGGCTCAGATATGAAATTTATATCTACCATTCACATGTACCTGAGAGAAATTTTTATTAAAAGTATGGATAAAGAATTAGGGTACGGTGTGTATCTTGTCCTGATGCCAATTTTTACAAAGTTCTCAACTCCAGGTGTGGAATGGCTTCTTGAATTGTCATATTCTGATTATGACAGAGCCAACAACTCTTTTAATTCACCTATTCTACAGTGTAGGGTAGAAAGTTATTTCTAGAATTTGTTTTTTTAGAACAAATTTTTTAGAATAATTTTGTTATTTATGCATTTAACAATGCTTTTCTGCTAGTGATTTTTGTTTTGTTTTTGTTTTTCGTTATCAAGAATTCTGACCCAAAAAACAGTCATATATGTCAATTTCAAGATTTGTTTTAACTTTGAGAAAGCCTAGAGAATAATTTTATGTAAATTTAGTAATCTGCAAATTACGGTACTTAAAGTAGGCCTAAAATATGGGTCTTCTAGGAAAATGATTCAGCTAGGAAATTCAACCTGAAAAATTAAAATTACAATTTTTTACCTTATCTGTTAGTAAAGATTCAGGAATATGCTGGAGTTTTCACCTTTACTTGGTGGTCAGGTAGGCATGTGAGGAGAATTTCTAGAGCAATTAGGGGAGGTTGGAAACTTTAGGAGCATTGCAAAACACAGTTTCTCGAAGGACCAGAAGAAATCCTCACTTCATCGTAAATGTTATTAGCATCAGATTGGATGTGAAGAGTCTGAATGATAAAGAAATTTGCCTAATCAATTAGGGTTGCTTTTGTGTCTCTCTTTCTTTGTAGTCTTTTCTGTGAAGCAATATTATAGGGCATTGGATGATTTTTATCCTATCACTTAGAATAATTTTTAAATGTCTTTACCATTATATTATAACAACTGCCCAGATTAACAGCAGACATTAATTTACCTAACAGTATCTGCTATTTTTATGATGATATAAGAATGTCAAAGAGATGCAAAATTATGCTAGATTACCAGGGTTTTTGTTTGTTTGTTTGTTGTTTGTTTTTTGTCCAGAAGATCTTTGGTACTACATTACTTGAAATGTTTTGGGGATTTAAAATAGAAGTTTTTGTTTTTGTTAGGTTTTTCCCTCAGTGGAGTACACGAGGTAACAACTACACTGTAAAGGGAGTAGTGTGTAAAGAGGATCCCTTTACTGTCCTATGATTAATTTTATCAACTTTTCCTAAAATTAGGAGTGAATACATCATTAACAGAAATAGCAGAAAACAATTAGATAATGATAAGGTAAACTAGAAATGAAACTCTGGATTGCAGTCCTTGAGCTCAAAATATCTGGAATGATAACACTGAGCATGCAGAGGGCCTGCAGACCCCTGTAAGCCCTGTGGAGTGGCAGTCAGAACTTTCCACGCAGAAATTGAGCACTAATGCATTGTTTGTGCAAGTAAATAGGGCGAGCAATTCTTCATTCTCATGCAGGTATATCTGTCTTCAGAAGTGGTCAGAAAATCAGTATCTGCCAACATTTAGATGTGGTACGATTATGGAGCAATGGAAATAGCAATAGTCTAAGAAAAAAGTTAACATTTTACTCATTTTGAAAAGTAATTATAAGTTGAAGAATTTAACTGTCAGCAATCCAGACTCAAAAGGTGTGCAATAAAACTTTCTGGTCTAGGCAGTTATAACTACAGGTTTAAAATAATGTTAAAAGATGAGTTCAGAAATTATTATCTGCTTAGATGGAGACTTCCAAGTTGAAAAACAAAAGTATTTTCAGTGCTTAAAGTGTACCTTAAGCAATATATTGCTTGCTAAATTATTTTTGGCACAAGAAAACGTAATAATATAGTACACATTGGAAACATTTACTACAAAGTAAAGAAACAAAATACAATCAAAGCCTCCAATTTATTCTGGCCATATCTCATCTCCATTGTCTCTATTCAGAGGTAACCTTTAACCTGAACTTGGCACTTAAATTCTTATGCACATTTTAACACGTTATCTTGTATGTAGTTACCTCCCAGCAGCATGTAATTTACGTTGCATGTATTAACATTGTATTAAAGATAATATATTTTAAGATCATTTTGAAATTTATTTTTACAATATTTTCAATAATTATCCACATTAATATAAGCAGCTCTTGTTCCTTCATTTTAGTGCCTATAATTTGCTCTATGAGTGAATAATACAACATCTTCAATGCAAATTCAAGCAGCCTTCAATTTTTCAATATTACAAACAACGCTATAATGAACATTCTTGTGCTCCTCTCCCTGGACACATACGGCCACAGGGGAAGTGTAATTGCTGAGTTATAATATATGTGCATCTTCCACTTCACTAGAGAGTATAAAATTGCTCTCCAAAGGGGCTGTGCCTATTTAAAATCTGTCAGCAGTGAATAAGAGTTCCCTTTGCCCCATATCTTGCCATTAGTTATTGTTATTTTTAAAAATTTTTGCCAATGTAACGGGTGTAAAATTGCAGGTAATTATTGCTTTAATTTGCATTTTCCTAATTACTAAAGAGTTTGAGCATTTTTATATGATTATTGGTTTTGTGGATCACCTCAAAACCAATGATTTGCCTTAATTTGTTGTAAGCTCAGCAAAACCTTTTGAACAGCATTTATTTCATTTTATTCAGAATTCATAAGTGTTTAATAGAAAAAAATTTTGAACATTTTTATTTGTTTGTAATGTTGCTCTAAATGATTGATGCCTGTTTTTCACCTCCAAATATTCTGATTTAGTTGTTATGCAGTGCAGCATAGACATCGGGGTTTTATAAATTCCCCAGGTAGTTCTAAGTACAGTAACATTTGGGAACCTTTGGATTAAGATGATCTTGAATTGTTATTGTCCTAAAATGAGCAAATCAAGTGGTGCTCTATTATTCACTTATTATTGTCCTAGAATCAACAAATCAAGTGGTGCCTTATTGCTCAGTGAACATTAATAAGTGAGGTGGGGATTGGTGGACAAAGGAGCGGGAATCATTCAGTTGGCAAATGAAAGTGAAATATTTTAATTTGTTTACTTGATAAAATATCCTGGCACCCTTGGGTAGATAAAGGACTTACTCTGATAATACTGAGGACATTCATTTGTTTTCTGACAAAGAGGGAAGAAATGTTCAGGGAGGGAAAGACAATCCTGCCCAGCTGTTGTAGTAAGAACATTGAATATTAAAGACAGTTGATTACATGAATAGACTTCAGTCTGGTCGAAAGTTTAGACCTTCTATGGAGAAAGTATTTCTGATAAATGAACTTTTCTTCACCCAGTTTTGCAGAATAAACATGAACTGAAACTCTTACTGGTAACTGGCACTCCTGGGCAGACATACCTAAAGCCCATGTCTCTGGAGAAGTTCTGGAAAGGAATAAAAATCCATGTGAGAATGTAAAAGGATATTCTGGAAGGAACTAAGAGATACTTATCGCTATGCACCTCTACCTTCAACCTCTCAGTTGGCGGCATCAGCAGCATGCCACCTCTTTGGTTCTTGGAGGTTTTGGCAACTCCATTCAGACTGAGACTGCTGTATAACTTGCCTAATGCAGAGATTTGTGTTCAGTGAACTGTATCCATTTCTATTTTAAAGAAACTCGTAGCCTTCACCTGTGTCAGCTTGAGACAACCACGCACCTGGGGTTAGGGTCAACAGAGCTCACTATTACAACAAAGCAAAACGAATCGCTGTCACTAGCCTGCATAGGTAATGCTCCTGCTGCAGAGCACAAGGTAAATTGGCAGGTGGAAGCCTGTCTACTCACACACATTGACTCCCAGAGATAAGTTTACCTTCCTGCTGTAATTTATTATTTATATATGCTGTATATGTATAAAAAATACCTTTATTTCAGAAATTCTAGCTATATTTTACTTTCTTGTATTACAATATTATGAATTTTTAAAAATAAAAATTCTGGTCTGTGTCATTTTATATCATTCATTGATGATTATTGTAGAGTAAAATAAACTTTTTATGATATTAAACCATTTAAAAATTCTGGGCTAATTATAAACCTACAGAGAAATTGCAGTGATTGTACACGAGTTCCCCTATATTCCTCAACATATTTCCTTCTTTGCTGACAAATTTTACAACCATAGTGCAATTATCAAGAGCAGAAAATTAACATTGCTACAATATCATTAATTAAACTGAAAACCTTTATCAAATTTCACCAATTTTTCCATAAATATCCCTTTTTCTATTTGAGGATCCTATCCAGAATCCCACATTGCCTTTAGTTATTTATCACTATTCTCCTTCAGTATGTGGGAGTTCCTTGTCTTTCCTGAACTTGATTAATGCTTTTAAAGAGTGTTGATCAGTTCTTTTTATTTTTGATCAGTTAATTTTGTTCCTCAATTTGCGGTTGTACAATATTTTCTGATAATTAGAATGAGGCCATGCCTTTGTGGCAAGAATACAACAAAGATGATGTTGTGCTCTTCTCAGTGCATTATACTAATTTTGTCATGTCAATATGCTTAATGAGGAAGATAGACAGTTTGTTAAAAACCATAGTTTAAGGGAATAGGTGGAAACTATTGAAATGTGTGAGCAAAGAAATTAATTAAGTGCCATCTGAAAATACAAACGCCATGACTGATGTACTATTGATACCTCCACAATGTGCATGACAATGAACAGTACAATAAGGTCACCCCACCCTTAACCAGTGCAATAGTCAAAAGCAGTGTCACACAACATACAATTTAAGAAGTCAGTGCTTACATTTTTTTCTTATTGTTGTGGACATGCAAATAGGCCTAAAAATTGACCTCTCTTTCACAAAATTCCTGGCAACAATTATATGGAACTATCAGTTTTGAATCGATACTTGAAATTCAATCATATAAATTGTGAAGGAAATCCACTAGAATGTTCTGCAACTTGTGAGAAGTCTTGGCTTGGAACAGTATAATGAAAAGTGCAATCAAACAGTCAAGTAGATTGCTTAAAGCTAAAATTCAGATGTTTCAAAATTACATTGGAAGGTGAAACTCATATAACTGGAGAAATGTGGTGATGTTCTGTTTTGTAGCTAAAGTGAAAAGACTTTCGGTGAAACCCACAAAACACTAATAAATTACTTTCAAATGCTATATTTTGCCATGCTTAAATGCATGTTTAATTAGTTTAGAAATTAAGATTATTTTGTTTTCTCCATTTTCTTGTTTTCTTTCTTTACTTCTTTTTCATCTTCTTAACTATGAAGTCCTATAAGTAAATAATTTAGCAATTTTGTTGCCCTTTTAAACTCTCTTCCTATCTCTGTATTCAGATACAAATTTTTCTTATCAGATACAAATTTTTATGGGCACATTACTTCTCATTATAATTAACATAAAATGATAGTGTTCCTTTTAATGGAAAAGTAACTTTAAACTTTAAAGTATAAATGGTATGTATTTGTAATTTGGCTCAGTGGATAATTATGTGATAAAAATATTTTCTTAGTACAAGTACCCTTTTAGCAGCTGCAACGTCATCACTTGTCATTTTGCCTGTCCTCCGTAGGCTGTGCACATTAGCATGAACTGGAAATAACACTCAGAAAGCAATTTGAGAAACAATTTTTTTTTTGCAAAAATAATGCAAAAGTATTTTAATGATAAAAAATGACATATAAAAGTACATTAACAGAATTCTGACACAAAAAGCATTCATGAAGAACTAAGTTGTTTTATACAGAGCAGACTATAAACTTTTTGACCTGATAAATAAATTACAAATTTGCCTAGCAATATTGGATATAAAAATAATCTGTAGTATGAGGATTAAACGTTGTTTAATGGGAGAGTTTATAAAAATTTGCTGATATTCTGTTTTGATGGTTAAAAAATGTTAAAAAAATTAAGTTTACTTTTTGTTCCTTTGTTTTGATATCACAATGTAGTATGATATAAGCCACCAATAACCACTATGTCATGTACTGGACATTGACTCTCAAAATATTTTACCTCCTTACTTTTTCAGTAATATAATTTTTTAAAACTATTTTTAAAGTGCTCTCACCTTACAGAATGTGCTTGCAAACTTATTTCATTCAACTTCTCTATTCAGAGATGATGTCACAAGGCCATTTCAGAAGTGTCATATCGCTTTTAGATACCATCAACTGTAGATGATTTTCATTGACACTCTAGTGTGATTTTCATAGTTTCCTTCCATTATTGCTTATCATTCAGCAACTGGTTTAAAAAGGCAAAAGTACTATTAATATACTCTACATACAATTTTTAAAAACTAGCAAAGTCTCTGGTTTAGAAAAGAAGGAAAAGAGAAAATTCTCATTTTATTGATTGGACCATATGAGCGAAACAGAGACATGAAACATTGAGGAAAGTCTGATATTTTTACATCCCTTCCCTCCAAATTGCTTTTTTGTCTTGTTTTTTTTTTTTTTAAATTTTTTTTATTTTATTTAAATAGTTTTGGGGGTATAGGTGGTTTTCGGTTACATGGATTCGTTCTTTAGTCATGATTTCTGAGATTTTGTTGCAACTATTACCCGAGCAGTGTACACTGTACCCAATATTTGGTCCTTTATTCCTCAGCCCCCTCCTAACCTTTCACCACAAAATCCATTGCATTATTCATATGCCTTTGCATCCTCATAGCTTAGCCCCCACATATAAGTAAGAACATATCATATTTGGTTTTCCATTCTTGAGTTACCTTACTTAGAATAATGGTCTGCAACTCCATCCAGGTTTCTGTGAATGCCATTATTTCATTCCTTTTTATGGCTGAGTTGTATTCCATGGTGTATATATACCACATTTTCTTTATCCACTCATTGGTTGATGGGCACTCAGGTTGGTTTCATATTTTGACAGTTGCTAATTGTGCTGCTGTAAACATTTGTGTGCATGTGTCTTCTTCATATAATGACTTCTTTTCCTCTAGGCAGATACCCATTAGTGGGATTGCTGGATGAAAGAGTAGTTCTCCTTTTAGTTGTTTAAGGAATCTCCATACTGTTTTCCACATGGTTGTATTGGGTTGGTGCAAAAGTAATACTAGTTTACATTCCCACCTACGTATAAATGTGTTCCCTTTTCACCACATCCACACTGACATCTATTATGTTTTGACTTAATTATGGCAATTCTTGCAGGAGTAAGGTGGTATCTCATTGTAGTTTCAATTTGCATTTCTCTGATAATTAGTTCTTTTAAATAGTTTTCTTCCAAATATTGTTATAAATATTTCTAAATATTTTTGAAATATCTTCTAAATATTTTTCAACATGTATTTTTGAAAGAGCTATGTGTAATAGTGGAAATACATGATCAAATGCCTAAATAAGGACATTATAGCTGGGGATGATTTGAGATTGGTAATGTTCTTCATTCATTTTTAAATTTATTTTCTTAGAGAAAAGATACCCTCAAAAAGAAATTAACAAACTGGGGACTGTTGTGCCCTGTGAGTGGGTTTATATTTTTATGATTTCTTTTCAGTCCTAAGATATTCCTGATGTATATACACTTTTAAATTTTGTCTGATGCAATCTGATATGATTTGGCTCTGTGTCCCCACCCAAAGGTCATCTCGAATTGTACTCCCATAATTCCCATCTGTTGTGGGAAGGGAGCTGGTGGGAGAAAATTGAATCATGGGGGCGGTTTCTCCCATACTGTTCTCATGGTAGTGAATAAGTCTCACGAGATCTGATGGTTTTATGAGGGGTTTCCGCTTTTCCTTCTCTCTCATTCTCACTCTCTCTTGCCACCACCATGTAAGAAGTGCCTTTTGTCTTCCACCATGATTGTGAGGCCTCCCCAGCCATGTGGAACTGTGAGCCTATTAAACCTATTTTTCTTCCTAGTCCCTGGTATGTCTTTATCAGCAGCGTGAAAATGGACTAATATACAATCCTTGTGCATTTTCCTGATGGCAAGAGAAATAAAAGGCTATATTTCTGCAGGGAAGAATAACCTGTCACATCTTCAATCTTTATGGGGAAAAAAAGGCAGTATCTACAAATGTTGGTTTCTTAAGATTTTTAGTTGTGACGGTTTTAAGGGATCAAATAAATAGCCTCTCTCTTCCCATTCGACTCCAGAGCTAACTGAGACGTAAACACAGGAATTAAGCGTATGTGGTTCAGAATCTTTTAACTCTATTGCTAATAACTGTTTGGCAATATGGGCTACTACAGCAATATGGGCTACTACACCTCTAATGAGACACAGCAAATAAGTGAGTCACTGGCAGAGTTAGAAAACATGGCTGATATTATATCATGAAGTATCACGTAAGCATTAATCCGATCTAGAGAGAGGCAGATCCTTCCAGGAAGTCCAGGAGTAGCTGAGTCATGTGTGCTCACTTTCTTTTACAAATTTACCAGTCAGAGAAGTCTTCTTCCCTGGGGGTGAGTGAGTAAGGTTTTGATGAAAGAGGCATGAACTGTTACTATACAGTTCTCTATGTAAACATAGAAAATATGTGGAATAACTGGTCCTCCCTAAAAAATGTTTCTCGGTGAAACAAATAGTGACTAGAGGAAAATGTGAGAGGGCAGTAGACTTGAAACAAATTCTCTTTACCTCATTGCTAGAAAGGGGTAATTTATTTACACAGAGGACCTTTTTTTGTGCTAAACACCCTATTAAAACTTAAAGATCTAGAAGTAAACCAAAGTTCTCTGATCATATAAAGGATAAAAACAAATATATATCATGTCAAGGGATTTGTAGATAATTAAATTATGAAGATGAGAGTGAATGACAGAGTGGCTACTTTTAGATGCTCTGGGAAAAGTACTCTTAATATTTGAAATTTGTTATGAAATATAGAAATATAGAAAAGTTTAAGCAACAGATTTGTTTTCCTGTTTGGTAGGTAGTTTTCTGCTGGCTTCTTTTCAGCTGCTGATTTTCTCTCCAGTTCTTTACAACCTTAATTTCCACCATAAGTTTCTAATTTCCAAGGCCAGAAAGCTTTACTCCTTCTTGGGTTTGTATTCCTTCCACAGGCTATCCAGGATTATTACTGCATTTAGTTTTCATTTTTATTCAATCTTCTTTGTTTTCCCTAGAATAATTCCTTTAAATCTTACTTCATATTTCATACTTTTGACTTTTTTGGAAACAAAATAGAGCCAGTTTTTTTTGTTTAGAATGCTACATAAATGATATTCTGTTCTTTTGTTATATTATGTTTGTTGCTTATTGGTGATAAATTTTATCAGCTGGTTAAAATTGGCCAGATCACACAGAATCCTCAAGTCCACACAGATAACAAATAGATAAATAAACAACAAATAGATAAATAAGAAAGAGGGAAACTTTTCTTCTTTCAGAAGGATAGTGAAATTACACATACACACACACACATATATTCACATATATGCATGTATACTGTATTATATATAAAAATAGAACATGTATATTTATAAAATTCTGCACTTACAGAACCAGAAAAAGATATTAATTCTAGGCATGAGAGGAAGTTTAATGAGTAACAAAATATTTAATTAGCCTCAAAGCATAGTACTTACTATATAATTCCTACTAGATGTTCTGAAAGCCACCCAAACTCCTTAAGCCCTAGCTGTCCTCTACTCAGATCCACAGTCTGTACTGACCTGATTTTCAATGTAAGTGTGAAGAATGTTCCCTCTCCTTATTCTCCATTCTCTCCATATTCTCTCCCCTTTCTCAGCAACCCCTCCTCTACTCCTTTCTCTCTCTCCCTTCTCAACCTCTGTGCTCTGTTACATAACTTACATAATTCTAGAAAAAACTTGATTGCTGTTTGTGATTCTTGGGGGCAGGTAGCTTGTCTTATTTGTCACTGGGTCCAAGTGCTTAAAACAGTGTCTGGTTCATAATGTAAATTAACATAATCACATAACTTTCTTTCTTGCTTGCTTGCTTGCTTGCTTGCTTTCTCTTTTCTTTCTTTCTCTCTTTCTTTCTTTCTTTCTTTCCTTTCTTCGTTCTTTCTTTTTTTCTCTTTCTTTTTTCTCTGAAGTGCAGTGGTACAGTCTTGGCTCACTGTAGCCTCTGCCTCCCAGATTTAAGTGAGTCTCCTGCCTCAGCCACCAGAGTAGCTAGGATTACAGGTGTGTGCCACCATGCCTGGCTAATTTTTGTATGTTTTGGTAGAGATGGGGTTTCACCATGTTGGCCAGGCTGGTCTCAAACTCCTGACCTCAAGTGATCTACCTGCGTCGGCCTCCCAAAATGCTAGGACTATAGCCATGAGGCATCAGGCCTGACCTAGAATACTATTTTCTAAAGGAAAGGAAATACTATTAAGAGAAATACTATTTTCTTTCTGTTGTTCATATTGGATAATTTCCATTATTCTATTTTCAAGTTCAGTGACTCTCTTCTCTGCCCATTCTATTATTCTGCTGTTTAGCCCATTCATTGAATTACCTATTTCCATAATTGTATTTTTTACTTTGATAATGTCCATTTGTCTATCCTTTATATTTTATATTTCTTTGTTGAGACTTTATAATTTTTATTTGTTTCAAATATGTTTGTAAAAGCTCATGAAAACATTTTTAAGATGATTGCTTTTAAAAATTCATCAAATAATTATCTCTGTCATCTCATTGTAGGAGTTTGATGATTGTCTATTTTTTATTCAAACTGAGGTTTTCCTGGTGCTTGGAATGAAGTGAGACTTTTGATTGAAACATGGACATTTTGAGTATTATGTGATATGAATATGGGTCTTCTTTAAAACTGTCTCTGACAACACTCCAGTGTTGGAGGTGTCTTGTGATTTCCAGGTGGTGGCAGAAGTCCTGTTTCCCCACTTGACCTCCACTGAGATCAGGTGATGAGGGGCTCCTTGTTCCTGCTTGGTAGTGATGAGAGAGTTGCAGCTCCTCTGTGGAACTCTGCTGGCACCACCATGGCTGGGAGAGGTAAAAGTGCCTCCTTACTTATGTGACCTCCACTGATGCCAGATGGAGAGTGGCCTCTTTACTATTGGATGGTGGTGAAAGTACTTAATCTTTATTTTGTCTATAAGGTACCACTTCAGTTACCTCTGAGTGTATTTGTTGTCCTGGCTCCTCAGCAGTCTCCACCAACACAGTAGAGGTAAAAGAGAAAGTAGTGGGTGTCTTCATTACCCCCCAGCTGGGAAAAATGTCTCAGGCTCCCACTTGGTCTTCCCTGCTACCACCCTGGTGCCATACAACAGCCTAACAAGTGTGAAAGCCTGAGCTCACTGCTTGACCATTGCTGGTGTGAGTGAGAGCTGGACACTGTTTTCTCTGTGGTATTTGCGTGGATTAGAGGAGTTATTGTCTAAAAGTATTCCGTCTTGCTAGACTGCCCTTTTTCTTGTCTCTGGGCTTTTTACCCCTGTATTTGTTAGGATTCTCTAGAAGTACAGAGCTAATAGGATAGATTTTATAAAGGAGAGTTTATTAAGTAGTATTAATTCACACAGTCACAAGGTCCCACAATAGGCCGTCCACAAGCTGAGGAGCAGGGAAGCCAGTCCAAGTCTCAAACCTAAAGAACTTCAAGTCAGATGTTCGAGGGCAGGAAGCATCCAGCACAGGAGAAAGATGTAGGCTGAGAGGCTAAGCCAGTGTTGTCTTTTCACATTTTTCTGCCTGCTTTACGTACACTGGCAGCTGATAAGATGGTGCCTACCCAGGTTATGCGTAGGTCTTCCTTCCCCAGCCTACTGACTCAAATGTTAACCTCCTTTGGCAACACTCTCACAGACACATCCAGGATCAATGTTTTGCATTCTTCAACCCAATCAAGTTGACACACAGTATTAACCATCACAAGTCCCCCCCTTGTCAACTTGAACTCACACACATCTCCTAAGATCACACAGAATCTTCAAATAAGAACAATAATAAAGTCATAATTACGCCTAAGACAATAAAGTTATCATTTATACAACTGGAAGTGCACCAATCCCCGATCCAAATGGTATTACATAAAGTTAGCAATACTTAAATCATGATATGAAGTCGACAAATCTTATGTCACATGATAAAGGAAAACGGAAATAAAATAAGGATACTTTCTAAGTAAAAGTGTATACATGCACAAACATGCTTTTAACAAAAGAAGGAGGAAATACTAATGACAATTACAGTCCTCATTTCTGCAACTGGTCATGTGGTCGTAACTGGTATTGATGACTACCTTCTTCTACTAACCATTCTGTATGCCCTTTGCCTTCAGCAAGCACCTCAGCAGGTGTTTTTTTTTTTTTTTTTTTTTTCCTGTTGGAGAGATCCAAACTTTCATTCCTCAAGGGTCTGGGCCATTTGTAGTCCTGCCTGGATTGGGCTGTTGTAGTTTCCCATTGACCTTAATCATAGGACATGGTAATACTAAGAGACACCCTAATGGATCTCCTGTATTACATGCATACTCTTCCTTACCTCCATTGTGGAGTAGTAGACTGATTTCATCTTGATAGTCTGGGCCAGTCACCCCAGCCAACACTGTAACACTCTTCTTAGCCTGTTGACTTAAAGGTAGGAGGAGCCCAAAGTGTCCAGATGGCAATCTTAACTTCTAGTTTTATGGCATTGTTGTTGTGTCTCCTGGTGGCAGCACTCCTCCTTCTGGAACTAAGACCTCTAAGCCAGCAGAATGTAATGTCATGGGAACAGGAAGCAAAAATTTTGCTAGTAGATCACTAGGGGTGATAGTGAGTGGTGCCGCTTCCACTTCCACCCCTCGATTACTGGACCTGTAAATCCTGGCTATGGGAGAAACAGTATCATGTATTGGAGGCTGATTCAGAGCATACACAGCCCTCTGGAGAACTTTGCCCCAGCCCTGCAGAGTATTGTCACCTAGTTGGCACTGTAATTGTGACTTCAAAAGGCCATTCCAGGCCGGGTACAGTGGCTCACACCTGTAATCCTAGCACTTTGGGAGGCCAAGGCAGGTAGATCACCTGAGGTCAGCAGTTCAAGACCAGCCTGGCCAACATGGCGAAACCCTGTCTCTACTAAAAATACAAAAATCAGACAAGCAAAAATTAGCCACGCCTGGTGGCATACACCTGTAATCCCAGCTATTTGGGAGGCTGAGACAGGAGAACCACTTGAACCCAGGAGGTGGAGGTTGCAGTGAGCCGAGATCACACCACTGCACTCCAGCCTGGGTGACAAAGCAAGACTCTGTCTCAAAACAACAACAACAACAACAACAATAACCAAACAAACAAACAAAAAGGCCAATCCACCATTCTATCAATCCAGCTGCTTCAGGATGTTAGGGAACATGATCAGACCAGTGAATTACATTAGCCTGAGCTTACTGCTACACTTCTTTAGCCGTAAAGTGAGTGCCTTGGTCAGAGGCAATGCTGTGTGGAATACCGTGATAGTGGATAAGACATTCCATGAGTCCACGGATGGTAGTCTTGGTAGAAGCATTGCATGTAGCATAGGCAAACCCATAGCTGGAGTAAGTGTCTATTGTAGTGAGGACAAACCTCTGTCCTTTCCATGATGGAAGAGGTCTCATATAATCAATCTGCCACCAGGTAGCTGCCTGATCACCCCAAGGAATGGTGCCATGTTGAGGGCTCACTGTTGATCTCTGCTGCTGGCAAATTGGGCACTCAGCAGTGGCCATAGACAGGTCAGCCTTGGTGAGTGGAAGTCCCTCTTGCTGAGCCCATGTGTAACCTCCATCCCTGCTGCCATGGCCACTTTGTTCAGGGGATCATTGAACAACGATGGGGTGGCTGGGAAAAAGAGGTTGAGTGGCGTCCACAGAATGGGTCATCCTATTCGTTTGATTATTAAAATCCTTCTCTGCTGAGGTCCCCCTTTGGTGAGCACTCACATGAAATACAATATCTTCACAGTTTTTGACCAGTCGGAGAGGTACATCCACATACCTTTTCCCCAGATTTCTTTGTCACCAATTTTTCAATCATTCTTCTTCCAAGTCCCTGACCATCCAGCCAAACCATTGGCTACAGCCCATGAATCTATATAATCACACATCTGGCCATTTCTCCTTCCATACAAAGTGCACAACCAGATGCACTACTAGAAATTCTGGGAAGATTTCCCTTCACTGCTGTCCTCAGGGTTGTCCTAGAAAGGGGCTGCAGTGCTGCATCTGTCCAATTTTGGGTGGTACCTGCATATCATGCAGAACCATCTGTGAACCAGGACCTAGTCTTCTCTTCCTCTTCAAATGATAACAGGGAACTCCTCATGAGGCCATAGGCGCGGGCTGGGGGAGAGAAGGGTGGGTGGCAGGAGTAGAGACCATAGGCCTTTGAACCACTTCCTCATGTAACTTACTTTGCCTTCAGGACCTGCTTGAGCCCGATCACGTATATGCCACTTCCCTTTGAAGATGGAATACTGTTGTGCACGACCCACTGTGTGGCTAGATGGGTCAGAAAGCACCCGGTTCATGATAGGCAGTTCAGATCACATGGTGACTTGATGACCCATAGTCAAATGTTCAGTTTTCACCAAAGCCCAGTAACAGGCCAACAGCTGTCTCTCAAAAGGAGAGTAGTTATCTGCAGAAGATAGCAGGGCCTTGCTCCAAAATCCCAGCAGCCTCTGCTGTGATTCACCTATGGGGTTCCTGCCAAAGGATCCAAACAGCATCCTTATCTGCCACTGACACCACAAGCACCATTGGATCTGCTGGGTCATATGGCCCAAGTGGCAGAGCAGCTTGCACAGCAGCCTGGACCTATTGCAGAGCCTTCTTCTGTTCTGGACCCCACTCAAAACCAGCACCCTTTCAGGTCACTTGATAAATGGGAAAAAGTAACACACCCAAATGAGGAATGCGTTGCCTCCAAAATCCAAATAGGCCCACTAAGCGCTGTGCCTCTTTCTTGGTTGAAGGAGGGTCGAAATGCAGCAACTTATCTTTCACCTTAGAAGGAATATCTCAAAGGCTCCACATCCCTGGACTCCTAGAAATTTTACTGAGAGAAGTTTCCTGAATTTTAGTCAGATTTATTTCCCATCCTATGGCCAGGAAATGTCTCACCAATAAGTTTAATGTGTTGCTACTTCTTACTCACTGGATCCAATCAGCATAATGTAATCAATGTAATGGACCAGTGTGATATCTTGCAAAAGTAAAAAGCGATCAGAGTCTCTCTCAAAAAGATTATGACACAAAGTAGGAGAGTTGATATACCCCTTAAGGTAGCACAGTAAAGATATATTGCTGGACTTGCCAGCTGAAGGTAGATTGTTTCTGGTGGGTCTTATGGACAGGAATAAAGAAAAAGTCACTTGCCAAGTCAATGGCTGCATACCAGGTACCAGGAGATGTGTTAATTTGCTCAAGCAATGAAACCGCATCTGGTACATCAGCTGTAATTGGAGTCACCACTTGGTTAAGCTTGTGATAATCCACTGTCATTCTTCAAGATCCAGGTGTCTTCTGCACAGCCCAGATGGGAGAGTTAAATGAGGATGTGGTGGAATCACCACCCCTGTGTCATCCAAGGTCTTGCTGGTGGCACCAATCTCTGCAATCCCTCCAGGGATGCAACATTGTTTTCGATTTACCCTTTTTCTGGGTAGAGGCAGCTCTAATGGCTTCCATTTGGCCATTCCCATCATAATAGCCCTCACCCTACCAGTCAGGGAGCCAATGTGGAGGTTCTGCCAGCTGCTAAGTATGTCTGTGCCCATTATGCATTCCGGCACTGGGGAAATGACAACTGCATGAGTCCAGGGACCCACTGTAAGTTGGCCCTGAGCTAAAACTCTATTAATTACCTGACCTCCCTAACCTACTTTAACTGAAGGACCACAATGATGTTTTGGGTCCCCTGGAATCAACGTCAGCTCAGAGATAGTGTCCAATAGTCTCTGAAATGTCTGATAATTTCCCTTTCCCCAATGCACAGTTACCCTGGTAAAGGGCCAGAGATCTCCTTGGGGAAGAATGGGAGAAAGATTAACAGCATAATTTGTCAGTAGTTTAGTGGGGTCCTTCCACAAGGGACCCAGCCTCCCCTTCTTTCAAGGGGTTCTGGGTCTGTAAACTGGCTCAAGTCTGGAAATTGATTGAGGGACTGTGATTCTGTTTTTATAATTCAAATTAGTCTTTTGTCCATTCAATCTGGAAGTTTTCTGCTCATATAAATTAAGTAGGAATGCAGTAGGCTTCCTATCAATTTCACTTCTAGAAACAATGTGATTAATTAGCCAATGCCAGAACTCCACATGAGTCAGACTATTCTAATTGCTGCTTTGCCTTTGCTGTCCATTACGGTAGCTACACCCACCTTGCCTTTGATCGTTTAGTGCTCCCACTTGGCCCCTGCCACCTTGAGATCCAATTATTCCCATTGTATTTACATTTTTTAATTGAATGACTGTGGTACCTACTGTTAGATCTGACACACAGAGAAGAGCAATTATAGTGCTCTTCAAAAATTCAGGTTTGCAAAGCATTGGTCAAGGGTATATCTTCTAGAACCCCCTAGCTAGAATAAATAGGTATAAAATGACTAATCCACTCCAGCATCGCAATCTCCCTAAGACTTAGAATCCCTTCCTCTACATTAAATCAGGAGAGACCAGGCATTTCCAGCTCATTCACAGTGGGCCATCTTTAATTCCATATTTCAGCTAACCAAGCAAATAAACTATTAGAATTTTTTTTTAACTCCCCGAGCTGCAACATTAAATGCAGAATCCCTACTTAGTGGGCCCAAATAAATAAATTCAGCCTGATCCAACTCTATGTTACTTCCACAATTATCCCATGCCCTTAATGTCTATTCCCATGCCTGTTCTCCAGATTTCTATTTATATAAATTAGAAAACTCACGCAGTTTTTTTCAAGTTTAGTGCATCTCCTCATGGGTCACACAGTCACTCTGAACCTCAGTTCTAGGAGCCTGCCAGGACTTTAGTTACAGGTCTAGAAGCAAACAGGGGTATTGAGGGTGGTTTCTGAGGAGAATCAACATTATCTTGCCTGGCAATTGCCTCTGGAGAGGCAACAATCTGAGTCCTGATGTCCCTAGCTAGTCTTTCTTCTTTTAACTTTTCAGACACCTCTTTTCTTTTCTTTTTTAAATATAATGTCCACAGTTTTAGTTATACTTTGTGGAAGGAATAGAAAAATGAGTACATGCTGCATCTCCCTGGGCACAGAAGTTGATGGAACTCGTGTTGATTTTAGACTATATCTTTTTGGCAGGGCGTGGTGGCTCATGCCTGTAATCCTAGCACTTTGGGAGGCCACAGCAGGTGAATCATGAGGTCAGGAGTTCAAGACCAGCCTGGCCAATATGGTAAAACCCCATCTCTACTAAAAATTGTCTGGGCATGATAGCGCGCATCTGTAACCCAGCTACTCGGGAGGCTGAGGCAAGAGAATCTCTTGAACCAAGGAGGCAGCGGTTGCAGGAGCAGAGATTGTGCCACTGCACTCCAACTGTGTGACAGAGCAAGACTCCATCTCAAAAATAAATAAATAAATAAATAGACTATATCTTTTTAAGTACTTACACATGAGATAAACAATAAGTCTCTGACCAGCAAAACAAACAACCAGTCAACAAAAAATAAACAATTTTCTTGCTCACTCCCTACTTCAGTATTAAATATTTTAAATACTCCACTAGGATAAATCATATTCACCTAAATGGTTAACTTGCAATATGCTGAAAGCTACATATGAACGAGAATGCAATTTTTCATCCCTTTTGTTCAAATCCTATTCTTGCCTCTGTATTTTCTAAATTGTGAATAAAAACTGACTACCTCATACATGGATTAATGTAGATGTAAGGGTCAATCCATTTACAAAACATTAGTAAAATCTTGTTTCTTTCTAAATTTTAATAAATATAAATAGAATTATAACTTTTATTCCAATAACTTAGTGAATTTTGTCACACTTTCCATTGGATGTAGACCCCTTCTTTCAAGACCACCATTTAGTCTGGATGAAGAACAAGTTCACACCAAGCAAAAATAGAGTTAAATAACGAAACTCTGAGATGGGAGACCTTAGAGAGGCAAAATGCTGTCAGCTGTTTGAGGTTTTAGTTCAGCACGTAAGAGAAATTTTAGTGATGGGCATTTTCAGTTTGCACTGCAGTGCCAACCAGACAGGACGCTGCTCAGTAACCTGACAGAAGCTGAGAAGAGCAAAGAGCAATTTTCACACCTCTCTCTGATAAGGCAGTGGGTTAATTAAAGGCAATCAATTGAGTGACAAATAAAAAGGAATTGCAAAGATTGTTTTAATGTAAGAGCTTTTCAACAGTGAATAGACCTTGTCAATTGAGGAAAATGTAAAAAGCAGAGGAGTCTGCCTGCTTGATCTTATGGAAGGGGGAGGAATAACTGAGAAACTTGCTATCAACCTTGAGTAAGACACTTTCCTTTTTTGTTTTGTTTCTTCATCTCTAAAATGAGGGCTTCCTACAATATAATTATCTCCGTGCGTCTATTACTTTAGTGAACCTAGACTCAAAGAAAGTTTCTGAGTATGCTCAATATTCGAAATATTGAAATACTCTTTATATTTTACTCAGGCAATTTTCTTGGCCAATAAATCTCGTAAAATGCTTATGAGGCTACATTAGAATGCCTGGATTAAAAAAATAATAGTATGAAGTCTTATGTTTCTGAATCTCAAATGATTTAAATATACCTCATTAATCGCCAAATCATTCTTGGAGGTATATAGGTGGGTGTGTTTAACATTATTATCAACAATTCAATAATGCCGTAGAGATCAATCTTATCTTCCACAACATAAAGAAGGTATATATTTTACCTTCAAAAGGCTCATAATGAATAAAAGAGAAAGACATTCAAATATAAATATATCTCCAAACACACTGTCAAATATCAATGGGATAATTACACAAAATGAATTTGAGATTCATAGTGAAGAAACTACTCTCTTTAGAATATATTAGATTTTTGTGAAAACAGCATTAGTAGTTTCAGGCCTCTGGGATATGATTAAGTGCTTAAAACAGTAATTTAATTTATTATTGATTCAGGTGTACTTCCCATTTCTTAACAGGCCTATTTTTTAAAAGTTTGTATAAATTAAAATTTTATTTTTTTTTAAAAAAAGGAACTCTGTCAGCTGAATCATCCTTTTAAAAGATAAGTACAGTGAATGATTAACCTTTGTATTCAGTTATATTTAATATTCTAAATTTATACAGAAGATTTTCACGTATTTGAAATTTTTAAATGTGAGGCTATATCTGTACCTTAATGGCATATAAGTAAAATTTAATTTTCTAAAATATTCTAAAATATTCCTAGGGAACAGTTTTAATACGGGGAGCCTCTTCATTGAGAACACATTGTTCTTAGTAAAACTAGTAACAAAATCTGTCTCTAAAATAAAACTAAAAGTACTACAAATTCTTCAAGACATTAAATAAAGTATATTCTTGGTTTTTATTTGAAATCTATTGTTATCAAAACTTCAAATGTTATATAAAACAAGTTTTTACCATAGCTCACCTTTTTTTGCTTTGTAAACATATAGTTACATCTATAAAATAACATTGCCATAACAAAGGAAGAACATTTTCCATTTTATTACAAAACTTAAAAAAATAATAGTACATATAAATATATAGTGGAAATAATTATTCCAATATATTTGCATAGATCTCAATATAATTCATATGTAATACCTATCATATAAACTTGTTGAAAATAGTGTTTTATGCATTTTATTTTAAAGTGTTATAAATTCAAAAAAGTGGCTTTTTGGGCTACAGGTAAAAATCTTCAAAACGGTGCAGAATATTAAATATTATTGAGAAGTGCAAATGTAGAAGCAAAAATGTAGGGGATAATATTGTTTGTTGTATAAGATTTTAAGAGTCATTTGTTGCTCAAGTGCTTCAAAAAAGTCAAAGCATTTTCAAAATGGTAACTATACTAAATATGACTATATATTTTTCACTATAGTATACAGTGAACTTCTCTCTGTAATTCTTATTTCACAAAGGTTTAGTTGGTAAAATGTACTCTACATAAAAATTGACTTCCCATTTTACAGTGTAGAATACTTAATGGATATTTGTACCATAGCCATTTCTTTTGTGAAAGAATCTTTCATTTTGTGACATGTGTGTATATGTGTGCATATTACCACAAAAATCTTGCATAAAGTATGAAAGAATCATATTTTAAGATAAAGTATATTAAGCCAGGAGCAGTGGTTCATGCCTGTAATCCCAGAAATTTGGGAGGTTAAGATGGGTGGATCACTTGAGGTCGGGAGTTCAAGACCAGCCTGGCCAACATGGTGACAACCCATCTCTAGCAAAAATAGAAAAAAGTTAGCCAGATGTGGTGGCATGTGCCTGTAATCCCAGCTACTCAGGAGGCTGAGGAGGGAGAATCACTTGAACCCGGGATGCAGAGTTTGCAGTGAGTCGAGATCAAGCCACTGCACTCCAGCCTGGGTGACAGAGCAAGACTCCATCTAAAAAAAAAGCATATTAAATGGAAACATTTATTTATTTATTGCTCATCTAGAACAATATGATAAATTTATACTTTCACTGAGAATAGCAAGTCACTCATGCTTTTTATCTCCTCCAAATTGAAGACCATTTTTCATGTCAAGTTGACAGCTATGTTAAGAACAATCAATTTAGAGCTTTTAACGTGGTTAGGGACCTGCATTTATGCTTAGCAATGCATAACATCTTTCAACCAGCAACCTCAATTATTTTTCTCCTATATGCTGTATAACAATACAATAAAATTTAAGCCCATTTCCCTAATACATGCACGTTGTTTACAATTTTGTGCTCATACAACTGTACTAATATACTCTACACAAAAAATAGACACAGAAATTGATCAGATATAATATTTTCATGTACCTTCAGGAGTAGAAACTGCACTTTGGGTATCACTTCTCTAAGGCACCAAAACTTTTCCTTTACCAAAACTTTGTCCAATCTAAGAATGTCTTGATTCACATTAAATTAATTAACAAATTAATTATAAACTGCTTTTTCAAATGGCCTTTGCATGTCTCAAATTCCTATGCATTTGATAACACAGGTAGGTATCTGCTAATTCTTCTGTTATTTTTTTCCTCCCAAAAATGCTCCATGCTAGTAGATTCCAAGTGGCGTAGAGAGTAAGTTTACTTTCTATTAATAATAACCTCAGAAACTGAGGTTTAGGAATTGCTACCATATGAGGGTTGTAATCTGACCAATTAACTCATTCTTAGCTAAGCCTCCCAAAACATATATGTTCCTTATGGTTGCAAAAGGTGTGACATTTGATGTGTATTTGCATGCACACGCACACATTGGTTAAAAAATGTGTATCAACACACAAAAATCTTATAAAAGAGGTCACGTTTCCTTCAGCCTACATCCTTTTCATTTTGTTGTGATCTGCCAAATTCTAAATAACATCTGCCATTAAGAAGGTGGTTGCAGGTAGATAAAACAATTTTTTTCTTGAACCACTTAGTATATTTAATATGCAAATATTCAAATAGGAGCTGAGTAGGATGGATTCTCTCTCTCTCTTTCTCACTCTCTCTCTACTGAGAGGAGGAAAAAGAATCTGGTGCTACCCAATCTGAGAATAAGAAGATGAGGAAGGAGTGGAAGGAGCATGTAGACTAATGGAGCCAGCAGAAAAGGCCCAGGTCTCAGAATTGAAAGCTTATATTCATTTTAACCAGGTTTCAAGAGGCATAGACCACCAGCTCATATGTAGATTGCATTATTACTATTCATATAAAAAAGTGAGGATTTCAAATGAGTAAAGATGACAAATATATATATATATATATAAAAGATTGCTAATATTTTCTTCTGTAGGGAGATCAAGTAGCCACTAAGTTAAACATCAAAGTTGGATTGGCATTTAACACTGTTTTGATCTAAGGTAGATATAGGTGGAAAAGAGAATAGATAACCGATTCAGATAATTTTTGTATCTGGTGATGACTTTTGCCATACAATATTCTCCTCTATATATTGTAACTCTGTTAACATTCTACATAATTTAATAGGATAGTTAGTATTTGTCTGGTTGGCATTTTGATATATTCCAGAACCTCATCTAAAGTGCTCAACTGTTGCTGAAAGACTATACAAGATCAGAAAAATAATCATTAATGCCTAAAGGTATATCTTCTAGACTACATCCTGTACAATTAAAAATAGAATATGAAGGATGACATCAATTTGGCTTATGCCTTGAGTTGGAAAATTTTATAAATAATTCAGTGATTTAAAGGGCTTATACTAAATATTTTACTTTGATCTTTTCTTTGTTGGTTTTCCATCAGTTGAATTCCTGGAAAAGACCACAACTGAAGTTTTTATGGAAACCAACCATAACACATACTGCTCTTACATGGAGGAACAACACCTAAAACATCACAGAAGAAAATTATCCAATAAAAATGAGTTAGGAAGCTTAGATGACCTACATTCTCACATGCTTCTGGACTAAGTTGTCAGCAGTGGAGTCCAGAGACCTTATGTAGAGCAGAATAATTTCAAAATAAAAGCAATATCCAAGTATTATGGGCATAAATCAGAGATAGCCCAACACCTTGTGACCAATGCAAAAAGGCAACAGGTGTTGGGGAGAGGAAACTGACTTTGGTTTGTCTTTTGACTACTTGGGTGGTGCAGGAATGTTATTTAAAATAATAACTGCTAAGGATGAAGAGGAAAAAAATATCAGAGAAATTAGCAGTGTAAACTAGGTACATGCAATATAAACTATAACAAGTTCAACTATGGCTTAAATAGGTAACCATAATAGAAAGAGGAGAATTCATGTAAGAGGATCAGTCAACTCTAGGAAGCAAAGTTGAATACAGTACTTAATTCTAGAATTTAACTTTAGCTGCACCATACATTTGGAGAGTCATGGGGACAGTTGGGGATAAAGAATATAGTGGCTGCTCCATAAGGAATTTGTATTTGTGAGTCAGAGACAAAGGCAGTTGCCCCATATGTCAAGTAAAATCTCAGCAACTCCTGGAAACACTTCTTGACCAGTCTTGCTCAGTGGTCATCCTACATATCTTTTGGGTCATCTAGCAGTCATTGTTTCTGCCTTTCATAGATGCTTGATTCTATAATTTGTGGTTTACTATCTCAACTTACCTCGATCAGAAACTTCAGAAATACATCTGTTTTATATTGCATTGTACCTTACACAGTGATTAATTTTTGATGAGCTGCTCAACAGATATTTAATAAACAATGATATCAAATTATAAGCATTGAAAACTGCAGGTACCTTTTTGTCACAGCAGTATGTCTTATAAAGGACAAAATTATTACATGAATACAAGATTGTAGGCCATACATATATACTGGAGACTATTTTTAAAGCTTACTTGTGTTATTCATCTGACTGGTCTTTGCACAGCAGTTAAAGAGCAGAATCACACCTGATAACTACCCTCCGGAGCCAGACTGCCTAGATTCAAACCTGAGTTCTTCCTCAGTCTGAATAGATGATCTTGGGTTTATCACTTATTACAACCTTGTTCTTTTCAGAGATGATAACAATAATTCCTGGCATCATTTGGTTGCTATGTAATTGAAACAATTATTATATCTAAAGAACTAAGGTCCTTTAGTATAAAGCAAGCATGTCATAAATATTAACTATTATTATCTGAACCATAAATCTCTCTGTCCTTTCATGTGTAAAATCTTAGATACAAAGGCATTTCATCATTCAAAGCCTATGAATGACACCTGCATCTTGGGAAAATCTAGATTCTGGAGGATAGCATTTTTGAGACCATTGAGTCTGAACTGAAGCAACTCGTGGGCCATTGATGGAGAGATACATGTATCTCTAATTATTCAAAGGCCTTTTGCTGAGAAACTACAAAATCATGAAAAACATTCCTCAGAAATTACTAAAATTATAATTAGGACATCACGAATGTGATCTTTATTTTCTTCCATACATGTCCTTCATGCTGTTTCTAGACTGACAGTCTTACTCTAATACATAGTCCACGTGGACGTAAAGATGTTAAAATCTAATCTAAGGCCATAATTAAATTATTTTAAATCTATTTTTCCTTTGGTAGTGTGTAAAATACCTGCTATCTTACATTCATGGCATAGAAAAATTGATAAATAGCTTTAATATATCAAAAATGTACTAAATAATCAAGTCTTTGTTAAAACAAGGATCACTCAATCACAAAAAACTTACTATATTAGTATGATATGGGTTCATATATGGATGTGTTTACATATACACACATCTCTCTAAATATGAAAATATATACTTTAAGCATGACAATTTAGGAAATTGTACTAAGTACAATATCTCCAAAATTCAAATAGAGAAAGTCATAATGTAATTACACAGTTTTGTTTGGTAGATAATACTATTAAAATAATAGCTATAAGATTAGTACGGGAAGAGTCCATATCTTATTTTTCTTTCACGGACTGACATATATAATAATAGTTTCTAAAATAAAAACTGACTATGTTTAATATTGTATAGGTAAGAAATGCCATTGACAGAAATATTGGAAAACGAAAGCATATCCAATCATAAGGACATACAATTTAGAATATAATACACAAATTCCAGTGAAATGATAAATATACCAGCTTTAGAGAGTAATGTATATGCTTTAAACTTAAAAGATAAAATATTAGAATCAGGATCAAAAGAGATGTGATTGTCTCCAAGTTGGTGCTTAAACTTCATAAATACTGTCTTATGGCCTTTTCGTTAGTGTCCATTTTTCAAATTATAACTTACAGTTCAGGAATTCAAGAGAAATATAAGGCTGCCATTCAAAAGGGTCTTCTATTGCCACTTATTTTTTGTTTAATTCAAGTTTTAATGTGAATACTCTTCAATCACTAGCAAAAAAAGATAATACGGGGTGGAAAACGTGAGAAGAATAATTTTTTGTCGAATACACTTTAGGCATCACAGGATTTCTGGAATTAGTCCTTGTGATTGCAAAGCATTATCATTATTAACAATGATGTAATTGTAAATAGGTGCATGATCTTAAGCATACAGATGGAGGAATTAAAAGGAAAAAATATGTACTATTTAATGTCAATGAATGGTTTTCTTAAAAACTATAATTTAATAGAATTGACTAAGAAATATAAACATCTAAATGAACAGTAATTGTTAAACCAATTAGTCAAGCAAATGTCTAAACCTCTTTCTGGCAAATCAAATCAAGAGCACATGATTTTATCAAACCTTCAAAGAAGAAATAATGCACATTTTAAATCAGTCCTCTAAGGATGACAGAAATATCTCCCCAAATCATTAAATGACATCTGTATATTTTTAATTCTAAGGTAATCAAAAATAGTACAAAAAATAAAATAATAAATTATTCTTCCTCATGAACATATATTCAAAAATCCTAAGTAAATCACATTTAGCAGTGTGTTAAAATATTGAAACATTAACAAATAGAGTTCATCCTAGAATCCATGCATGGCTTATTTTAGAAAATTTACCCATATCTATCAACACATTAATGTAAAAACAGATAAAAATATTACTATCTAAATTAAATCCAGAAAATCATGTAGTAAGAATTGGGAGTGGATATTAGCAGGACTTCTTCTATTTAACATTTCACCTAGAGCCCAAAAGAAGATAATATTTTCTAAGTTCTCTCACAAAACAAGATATAAGACAATTTATTTATATCATACAAATGAAATTTAGGTCTCCTAGACCCAAAAAGAACTCTAGGTCTTCATTTTTAGTAAATTTAATTTTAAAATTAATGATTTTTTTAAAAAGTACATTTATGAAAATGTATGAGTCTGTTCTTCAGTCATATGAGCCACATTTCAAGTTCTCAATAGCTATGTGTGGCTAGTGATGGATACATTGAGTAGATGGAGAACAAACTTTTCCACTAGAGAAAAAAAAAAAAAAATATATATATATATATATAGTCGCCCAGGCTGTAGTGCAGTGTCACCATCTCGGCTCACTGCAAGCTCCGCCTCCTGGGTTCACGCCATTTTCCTGTCTCAGCCTCCCGAGTAGCTGGGACTACAGGCGCCCACCACCACGCCTGGCTAATTTTTTGTATTTTTAGTAGAGACAGGGTTTCACTGTGTTAGCCAGGATGGTCTCGATCTCCTGACCTTGCGATCCGCCTGCCTCGGCCTCCCAAAGTGCTGGGATTACAGGAATGAGCCACCGCGCCGGTCTAAGGGAGATATTTTAAAAAGGTATTTCTTTGAAGGGAGTTGCTGGAGTATGGGGTAACTCTTTCTCTTACCCTCCAGTATCCTCACGGCTTAGAATATTGGTGGTCCTCACCATTATCACAAACTCAGTGAGTGAGTTCTTAAAATAAACACTGACAGAGAGTAGGATGCTTTTCAGGCAAAGGTTTTTCTTACACCCTTAGCTTTAGCCAGTAAGAAGACTGTTTCAGAGTACTAATCAAAGCACTCTGTGCTTTCAGACACACTGTGGGAAGTCTATCTACCAAATGACTGATTGGGTCCCTGGATAATGTTTGGACTCAAGTATCTTGAAGGGGTGTATTAGTTCATTCTTATGCTGCTACGAAGAAATACCCGAGACTGAGTAATTTATAAGAAAAGAGGTTTAATTGACTCACAGTTCCGCATGGCTGGGAAGGCCTCAGGAAACTTACAATCATGGCAGAAGGCACTTCTTCACAGGGCAGTAGGAGAGAGAATGAGTGCCAGCAGGGGAAATGCCAGCTTATAAAATCACAACATTTCATGAAAGTGAATCATTATCACGAGAACAGCATGGGGGAAACCGCCCCCAAGATCCAATTACTTCCACTTAGTCCCACCCTTGACACATGGGGGTTATTACAATTCAAGGTGAGATTTGGGTGGGACACAGAGCCAAACCATATCAAGGGGTTTTGCCTAAGATTTCCTACCTGGACAAAGGTGATTCTGTAGAAAGATACAGAAAGCAGGCCTGGGGAGTCAACTGTTCCTGTGTTGTGAATTTGAAAAGCCCATAAAATATACACTGCTAAGAAAAGAGATTAACATCCATAGAAATCCAGAACCAGATTGCAAGAAATGGATTCTGTCCATTCACATCCAGAGAAATCCAGAACCAGATTACATGAATCAGATTGGTCAAATCAGAGTTTTTCCATCCCCTACATCCCCTCTTCCTCCATCTCCTCCATACCCAATTCTATATAGTCAGGCATAGCAAAGTGAGTGCGAGAGAATACAAGAAAGAGTAAGGTCCAGTGCTTCCAAGTAAGATTGTGTATCAAGCCTTTGCAACATGTGGCAGAAATGCCTTATTTCACAGAAAAATTATATTATTGAAATTTGTTTTTAAAGGGCCTATTTTGTAATAAATATGATCACAGAAGGTACATTTTGGAATTTGTTTATAAACTCCATTTATACTAGCAACAGGCCCAGCAAGAGGCAGAAATAGTAAAAATAAATAAAGTTAGTCAACATCTCTTCTGTCCCAATATCTCCATGTCTACCTTAGACTAGATTTAAAGCTTAAGATAAGGGAATTCATTCTACAAAATATCAGTACAATTAAAAATTATAGCAATTATGGCTGTTACATTGCAAAATAAACAGATAAAGCAATGGAGCAGAGTGGAAAGTCTAGATATAGGCATAAAGTTTCTTTATACCTCTTATTGGAATATTATTAGACAATATTGGAAATAGTTCAATCAAAGAAGAGATAACTGATTCACTAAACAGAATTTGAATCAATAAATATTACCGAGCAAGTGATACTTATTACCAACTCAAGGTTAAGAGTCTCACCACATAGAGGATGTCAAATAGCATAACAATGCTGATAGCCGGGAGCAGTAGTCTCAGGAAGTCAGCCTCCCTTCCATGGTTTTCAGGTGTTGGGTTGGCCAAGGGAAACACAATTCACACTGGCATTGGAAGGAACAAAGTTTTGCTCACATAGAGTAGAAACAGAAAAGGTTAGCTTCAATAATGAGCTTCAGGCTCTCAGCCAATGCAAGGGGATGGTCTGCACACATTCCTCTTGTGATTCGGATAAAGGACATCCATTCCCTCCCTATGGAAACCCATATAGTACGGGAGTTGATGCACACACTTAAGTAGAACAAAAAGGTACACAAATTTGGAACAGATAAAGAAATTCCCAAACAGAGATGGGCGAAGCACAAGCTATGAAGGCTCTTAATTTCTTTGTAAGGATATATTCCCAACCCAAAGCACACTCTTATACAATTGGACAGGAAAGACTGTGCAAGTGACTGCTTCTCCCAAGAAATACCCCTTTGAAAAAATAAAAATAGAAGGATTCCTACCTCGTAGTATAAACGTAAATTAATAGCTGATTAGATAGGCAAAATTACAAAATTTAAAACTTTTATGACAAAAATATGAAATATTTACAAGATGCAGAAAGCATAATATATAACAAACAATAAATTTGTGTTATAATTGTGTATTCTATACAGATAAAAAATGAAAAGTTAAGCAAAAAATTTAAAAACATTCATTAAACACATAACATTATATAATTAGCATTAGCATATATCATTTTAATATATCAAACTTGAAAATCATATATTATTAGCAAATAGACAAAGGCTAAAAAAGGTTATTTACAAAACATGTAACCAAAATGATTTACCAAAGAACCCTCAATGCCATTTTAAAAATAGAGATATCTGTTCACACTCATCTACTTGGAAAAAATATTTAAGGAAATAATTTAGAAACTGTTAAGTTGGGTTGATGAGTAATTGAGCATTTGTTATATTACATCTATCTATCTATCACCTATCTATCTATTATCATCTTTATCAATCTATCTGTATCTATTTTTACTTTATGCTTGGGAAAAAAACCTTTGTTGAAATAAAATAAAAATTGTTAAAACTAAGAATGCTGCAACACAAGCCTTTTTGCTTCCTGCTGTAGCAAAATAAATGCATTCTTTTTTTTATTTGGAAAGCACTTGGAAAATTAGTATGCTTAATGTTAAAAACTTTATACATTATTACATAATAATTCAATTTTGAATATCCTAAAAAAATTGCAAGTGGTTAAAAAAGCTGTATTCGTTAATATTTCCACTAGCGTGTTACATGTAATAAAATTTTTGAAACATATATTCATTGATAAAAGAATACTAATTCAGGTGACCAAGACAGCTTGTTAAAAACTGATTCTTTACAAACTGAATGTAAAAGTTGTTTCTCATTGAAAGAATACTGATGTTTTGCTAAATATTAAACCTGGATATGAACTGTTTAAATATTTTTTAAACTTTATCAGGTTAATATTATAAAAGCTTTCCTTAAGATACATATTTTTTCCTAAGTGTATTTAATTGAATTAACAGGGCTTTCCTTAAAGATGTTAAATTGGTTCTGTGTATCTAACATATTACTAATAAAAATATTTAACAAATTTTTAATTCACGATCTCATATTAATCTGACTTGTATCTCTAGAAGAGATATAATGTGATGTAAATTTGAAATGATTCCAAACTTTTACATAGTTTGCTACTTGAGTGACATATGTTTTGCTGTGATAAAAATTTGGAGTGTAATTCCGCCCTCCTTGAGAATGTTACATCATACCTTATCAGGCTCCGTATGTGAGTTATTGACCTTCAACTACTGGACTCCAAAATTCATAAGAACCCAAGATTTTACAGGCAGTTTGAAAGCTTAAGCCATGGCAGGGCTATCCTCTGTCAGCTGCTTCTCAGAAGACCAAGAGCTTAGGCTGTGGCTGGGCCACATCCCGTTAGCCTTTGAGCTAATCTCCGGCCAACACCGGCACCGCCCTCTAGTGTCTAGGGACAGCACACGTCACGCCGTCAAGGATCTCTGTAGTATTGGTCAAACCATCCCTCTCCACAACCTTTCCTATAAAAGCATGCCTCAAACCTCAATTAAACTTAACTTTCTACAGAGGCCTGCTTCCATCCTAATTGAGCAACTAGACTTTAACAATTCTGGATCTCACTCACTATGTGGTAAATTGTACCTGATCTATCAAGTGTATTCTCTGTGAGTTGTTAGTTGTTCTCATTATTCTTCCCCTCTTTAAGCATTAAAAAATAAAGAAAAAAATCTGTGTATGATCATAACGATGTGATTTATAAAATTAGACTTTTGATTGTCTTCTTATTTTAACTATAAAAAACATATCATTTATACTTTAACAAATATTTTTGGTAGAAGAAACATCTTTCACGAGTAGCATCTCCAGAAGCAAATGATTTTAAAACAAACTTAAAGAAAAATTGAATTAAAAATTGAAATAAAATAGACAGAAAAATATGCACACTAACTCTCATTGAATGACTCTACTGATTGTTCTAGGATTTTCCATTTCAATTTTTCTTTTTAATAATCATCTGTTACTCATTTTACCATATTAAATTTTTATCTTTCTCACTAACATCTTTTAAAAGTAAGAAATGACTTCATTTTTTAATACTACTCTAAATAGTCTAGTAGTTTAATGGTACTATGGAAAGAAAGAAATGAAATTCTAGTGAGAATTCCTCCCACAAAATATGTATTTAACTACAGCTATTTTTTTTTAAATTTTACTATTATTGAACTGGCATAGAGACAGGGAAAATAACCTGATTTTTATTATTCTCTTGTATGACACATTCTATGCTTGCTTTCTATTATATTTTACTTTTAGTAGTTTCAGTATATTTTGAAGAAAATTTCTAAAAATTAATCATTATAAATTTTATATAATGCAACAAGTACTATTGAGTTATTTCAAAATGCAAATTGCACATTTACTAATTTGGAACTTATTTGCCCTAGCACCATCACCAGAGGGAAAAAACAATCACAAAGCTTTGCTTAACATTTGTATCTATGAGGAACCACTGACCTTCAGTTAGTGCTATTAAATTTTTTTAAATATCATTTTATTCAACTGAGTGGCTATGGAAAAAGTCTGTTTTAGAAGGATGATATTATCTAAATTAAAAGTGCATTTATGTGTGACAACATAAGGTCAAATACATTTCTACTTTATATGTTATCCAGAAGCCTGAACAAAAGTCGTAAGTTATTACATCACAATTATTATACTTTTTAAATTGCTATTTTACTTTATATTATGAGGTGTTAGCTCTCTTTTTCCAATTAACAAAAACCCTACTGCCTAAGCATTTTTAACAAATGTGAGCAAATATGGCTTCTTAAAACTTGCATCTCTACTTAAAATTTTTTAAGTGAATTTCACAAAACTTTTTTAAGACATATGAAGAACAGTCTATTAATCTATATACAAAGAGTTTATAATGAAGATAGTTGCATAAATGATTTAGAAGACACTGTCACTACTCTATTCCTCATCAAATGCTCATTAACAACAATGTCATCAAGTCTCAGAAGTACATTTGGTGTTTTGATTAATTAATTCTGACACATAAGAGTTTGGTTAAGCAATTACTCAGCAGTTTACATATTGACTACTTTGCATTGTATTAAGTATAGTGAAGGATACATAAAAATAAAATATTAGGTTGGTCCAAATGTAATTGTGGTTTTTGTCATTACTCTTAATGGCAAAAGTCGCAATTACTTTTGCACCAACCTAATACAAGACACATACTCATACAGGGATAATATCTTTTTGGAGGCACAAAATTTATATGTAAATTCAACTAAAAAGCACATGTGATTTAGTTTAGGAATTTATATCATTATCACATTTATCTTTTGTTATTCTTTAAAACATAGTGAGTTTTTTTTTCTTTTTAATGTATAAAGATTCTTCTCTTATTCCTCTGTTGAACTTGATTCCCTGCTGATCATACAGTATCTTCCCCTGGACAAAATTTCTGTGAACAAGATTAGGGGGAAAAAGAGTTGAAGAGGGCTGAGCAAGAGTCTTTCCCTATCAAGTCTTATGTCTGGCAGGAGTTGCAGAGAATAAGATGTCTATGTCAGGCATAGTGTGAGAAGCAGAAAAAGAGGACTCTAGAAAAAAATTTACTTCATTTATTTTTCTTGTTAAGAAATTAATTTTTTAATTTAGAATTAACACATAGTAATTGCACATATTTATGGGATGTAGCGTGACATTTTAGTGAATGTATGTATTTTATAAAGATCAGATCAAGTTAATTAACATATCCTTCACTTTAAATATTTATCATTCCTTTGTTGTGGCCTCTTCTAGATATCTTAAAATACACACTACATTATTGTTTGCTATAGTCACCCTTCTGTGTAATAGAACACCAGTAATTATTCTTCCTGTCTAACTATAACTTTGTATCTGCTGACTAACCTCTTTGGTTCACCCCTCTTCCCTACTCTCCTCAGTCACTGGTAACCACCATTCTACTCTCAACTTTTATAAAATCAACTTTTTTAGATTCCACATGTTAGGTTATGTGATATTTGTATTTGTCTAGCTTATTTTACATAACATAATGTCCTCTAGGTTCATCTATGTTGCTGAAAATAATACGATTTTAGTTTGTTTTATGGCTAAATAGTATTCCATTTTGTATATATACATAACACATTTTATTTATCCATTCATCTTCTGATAGACATTTAGGCTAATTTCATATCTTGTATATTGTAAATAGTACTGCAGTAAGCACGTAAGTGCAGATATCTTTTTGACATACTGATTTTATTTCCTTTGGTTATACACCCAGTAATGGGATTGCTGGATCATTTGGTAGTTCTATTTTTAGTTTTCTTTTGTGTGTGTGTTGTGTGTATGGAACCTCCATAGTTTTCCCTAATGGCTGTACTAATTTACATTTCCACAAACAATGCATAAGTTTCCCTTTCTCCACATCCTTGCCAGAATTTGTTATTTTTTTGTCTTTTTGATAATAGCCATTCTAACTGAGATGAGGTGATAGCTCATTGTGGTTTTGATTTGCATTTGCATTTCCACACATTTACAGCCAACTGATTTTCAACAAAGGCAAGAAAAACAAAAACTGGGGAAAGGACATTCTGTTGAATAAATGGTGCTGAGAAAACTGAATTTCCACATCAGAAGAATGAAACTAGACACCTATCTGTCATTGTATACAAAAACCAACTCTAGCTTGATTAAATACTTAAATGTAAGACCTGAAACTATGAAAACTTAGAAAAAAAATAATGAAAATGCTTCATGAAATTGGACTGGGCAAAGATTTTTTGATTAAGATCTCAAAAGCACCGGCAATAAAAGCAAAAATAGACAAATGGGATTACATTAAACTAAACACTTTGTGCACAGCAAAGAAAACAGAGTGAAGAGAAAACCAACAGAATGGAAGAAATTATTTGTGAACTATGCATCTAACAAGAAGTTAATATCCAGAATACATAAGAAACTCAATTCAACAGCAAAAAAATCAAATAACCTAGTCAAAAATGGGCAAAAGAGTAGAATAGACATTTCTCAAAAGAAGACATACAAATCACCAACACATAGTTGAAAAAATAGTTGAAAAAATGTTCAACATCACTAATCATCAGGGAAATGCAGACCAATACTTCCTTTACTTGTTCACTATCTAGTCATTCATTCATTCATCCAGTCAGTCTCATCATCTAATTTTACATTTAGTACATAAAGCTGAATTACAATTGTTTTGATATCTAGAACCTTAAAACCTAGCAACAAAGTAGTCAAGTAGGTACAATTATAATAAATTCATGATTAACTCTTCAAAGAAATGCATTTTAAGTGTTAAAAACAAAAATGAGGAAACTATTAACCGACAAGAAAACGCATCTAATGTTTCCATGTTAAGGGAAAGATCAGGCCTTAAAGAATGAGTAATCTAGGAAGGAGGTGAGAAGAAAAAATAAATAATTCTGTAGATAAAAACAGGAAATGTTATGTTTTATTCCTCATTACTTGTTTAAATGAGTGTAAATTTCTAGAGTTTCAGACACAAATATGTTCTAAATATTCATTCATTTAAATAATTTTCTTTAATTCAGCAAGGAATGTACTAGAAACTATGAGGTTGGTGCAAAAGAAATTGAGGTTTCTGCCATTACTTTCAGTGACAGAAACCACAATTACTTTTGTACCAACCTAATAAAAAATGCTACCTTTTTAGCATAACAATATATTTAAAATACAAATATTATTTTCAAATTATTAAGCCATATTTTTAATTATCTTCAGTATTTCTAGGTTTTTACTATAAATAATGTAAAGTCTATTATAATGCATTTTTAAAGAACTATTGACTGTGATAAAAGTCTTATCACAAAGAAATAAAGTTAAAAAAGCTTTTTGAATGTTGTTTCAAATTCTCTAGGTGAAACATTAACATCAAACAAATAATTACATCACTTTTAACTGAATTTAGCAGTTGCTAACTGAACTGCTGTCAGTGTAGCTACCCTCACAATCCAAAAGTTTCTGCTCAAAAAATGTCCAAGGACCTTCATTCAACCTCCAAAAGTATGAAAATGGTCAATTTTTGTATTTATTACTTATGTGGTATGTTGGAAAAATATGCTTAAAACAATGAGCACCTACGGATAAGAATTAAACAGAATGGAAAGGAGTGGAGAAATCTAAATATCCAAGGCCAGAGGGAGTCCCCACATCACAAATCTTTGTTGTTCTTTGATAAAAGTTCATCTGAATCAATGAATTATTAGTAGGAATTTGAAAAAAAAGTTTGTATATAATTTGTAATGGACATGCACAGAGCAATGTTAAATGCAGTTTAATGTGAATGAGAAAGAAATATGAACATGCTTCTTTCTTATACTTATTTCTGTGAGAAAATTGGGCATTGACAAAATGTTTCATAGTATATTTTCATTTTTAAGCTTTCAAAATTTAGATTATCTTTTAGATATGCCTGATAATGTATTGTCTGTGAATGCATACATGTAATCTGAATATTTTGAAATTAATGCCACAGATTTTATTTTGAAACAATTCATATTTGGGTGCCATTGCCTATTACTCCTAGTATTCTATAAAGTAATTACCATTTGAAATGTTTTGTTTATTATGTTTACACTTAGAAAAATTTTATGTAATCCCAGCTACCCCGGGAGGCTGAGCGAGGAGAATCGCTTGAACCTGGGAGGTGGAGGTTGCAGTGAGCAGAGATGGCACCATTGCACTGCAGCCTGGGCAACAAGAGTGAAACTCTGTCAAAAAAAAAAAAAAATTAGATGTATTCTACTATATATTTGTCCTTAAAAATAATGTCTGTGAGCAGTTCATCCTGTAAAAGTATAGATTAAAGCTTACTACAAAATTATACTGATTTTTTGTGGTTTTAAACAAACATGTTTCCATAATTTATTTATTTATTTATTTATTTATTTATTTATTTATTTATTTATTTTTTGAGACGGAGTCTTGCTCTGTCACCCAGGCTAGAGTGCAGTGGCGTGATCTCGGCTCACTGCAACCTCTGCCTCCAGGGGTTCAAGAGATTCTCCTGCCACAGCCTCCCGAGTAGCTGGGATTACAGATGCCTGCCACCACGCCAGGCTAATTTTTGGATTTTTAATACCAACAGCGTTTCACCATCTTGGCCAGGCTGATCTCAAACTCCTGACCTCGTGATCCACCCACAGGCATGAGCCACCACGCCTAGCCTCCATAATTTATTTTATGGTATGAAGCTGCAACAGGTGCTAAAGATCATCTATGTCACCTTCTCAAAGCCTTCTGTTTCTACTGGCAGATGTACATTTGGTAGATATTAAGAAAAAAAATCATCCATCATAAAGGGATGAATATCACCCAAAATTAGTACTGCTCACGGAGGGACTGTTGTGGAGAAAATAGCTCTACAGATTTTTTTGGGTAGTGAACTAAACATTAACAAAAGAGAAATAAATGAGTGTTATTGAATATTACATTTCATATTGTACAAAATATACAAAACCTGCTGTAAAATAATGTATTTATGACATTAAGCAGCATAAATATTACAGTTAATAACAATATATTGATTGTATACTTGAAAATTGCTAGAGTAGATTTTAAGTGTTCTCATCACACACACAAAATAATATGAAGTAATGTATATGTTAATTAGCTTGATTTAGCCATTCCACAATGTATACAGATATAAAAACATCATGTAATGCACCATAAATATGTACAATTTTTATTTCTCATTAAGGAATACATATTTTTTTTGTGAGGCAAGTCTTTCTCTGTCGCCTAGGCTAGAGTGCAGTGGCACGATCTCGGTTCACTGAAACCTCCGCCTCCTGGGCTCAAGTGATTCTCCTGCCTCAGTCTCCGGAGTAGCTGGGATTACAGGCATGTGCCACCACGCCCAGCTAATTTTTGTATTTTTAGTAGAGACGGGGTTTCATCATGTCGGCCAGTCCGGTCAATACATTTTTTAAAATCTTCAAAAAATAAAAAATAAAGAAACCTAAATATATCATAATTCAAGTCCTCTGTCTCACACATTATAACGTATAGTCTAAAGTGATAGTTATATCCTTTGCTTTTCATTACTTCTAAGGGTAGGAATCGCACCCTGATATTTATTTATTTATTTATTTATTTATTTATTTATTTATTTATTTATTTGAGCCTGTGATATTTAAACCTTTGCTTGTGGTAATTCTTTGAGTCCCAGTTGTAATGTGCATTTCTCCAGACAGGACTTTTCTCTCACTCTGTTAAAGGTCTTGCTGACTACGAATTAGGGACTACCTTAAAATACATTTTCAGCAGATTCTTTAGGTGGGTGATTATGAGTTGCGAGTGAGCGATTAGAGATTTTTTTTTTTTTTTTTGAGATGGAGTCTCCTTCTGTCACCCAAGATGGGGTTCAGTGGCGCAATCTCGGGTCACCGCAACCTCCGCCTCCCAGGCTCAAGCAATTCTCCTGTGTCAGCCTCCCGAGTAGCTGGGATTAAGGCGCATGCCACCACCGCCTGGCTAATGTTTGTATTTATAGTAGAGACAGGGTTTCACCATATTGGCCAGGCTGGTCTTGAACTCCTGAGCTTAAATGATCCACCCGCCTCGGCCTCCCAAAGTGCTGGGATTACAGGCGCTAGCCACCACGCCCCGCCTAGAGATTCTTTCTAGCAGTGCTTTTCGTTTTGTGTTTTTGTACTTCTACTCTCGAGCTAAGGCTGAGACAGACATGGTTTCCCATCACCATGCTGCCTGTACATAGTGGGTTATTTCCTCATTCACTTGCTGAGAAAAATGGACTTTTTTTATGAGAAATCTAAGCTCTGACTTCCTGCTTGCAGAGGTTCTGGGCATTTTTTCCTGTCCCTCTTGTCACCAAAGCTTCCTGGCTTAAGGGCAAAAGTTGGCCTTAGGGCCTACTAGCTTCTCTAAAGAATTCCCTTTGTTTCATGGTATACATTTCTGAAAATTCTTAGTTAACTTCCTGAAAAAAAAAAAAAGAAAAAACTTTTCCTCCCTCACTTAATATCCTCATGCCCCAAGATTCTTAGACGCTCTTTACTGGAAATTTTTTTCTGGTTATAGTATTTAAAAATACATCTAAAACCGTCTTTCCCCATATTTGCCCAGTCAGAGAGAAGAAAAGAGATATGATAGAAAAGAGGAAAAAGAGGCCACTGAGACTTGCCACCGGGAGAGTGTCTTTACTGTCAGTAATTCAAAGTATGTAGGCTCAGAAATTATTTCACTCCTGATACCAGTGCAGGTGGACTTATATTCCAGATTCTTTAATAGGAAAACATATCTGAAAACTAGGCTTTAAGTTAAAAGATCCCACTAGGGTACAAGAGTGTTCACTACATGAATATGTGGTATAAATGAAAACTACATGTAGAGCAAAGCATATCCACTCTCTTTTTAGCTGTAGATCTGAGAAGGGAAATCAAATGTTAAAATAATCTTAAGTAGAGCCAAGAGTCATATATCCAAATGTATAACTCTAGCAAGAATGAAAAAAGAATGAAGCATATAAAATGTTACGGAATAATGAAATACGCATTATTCATAGGAAATAGAGAAATAAATAATTATCTTAGATAATCATCTACTTGGGATAGTGAAAACAATTTAATAAAAGTGAAATGCAGAATAGAGACTATAAAATGATATTCACATATCCTTAAAATTAAAAAGTTAAATATAACCAGAAATTTACCAATAAAATGTAACCTGAAACTTAAATTTTAAAAAGTAAACATAACCAGATGTTTATGTCTTATTGGTACATGCTACATAAGTTATGAAAGTACATAGAAGTAAATAAAGAGTATTTATATATGGAAGATTCAATAATGTTGTAGACATTTCTCTCTCCTCTCTCTTTTCATCTAAATATATACAATAATATAACAATAAATGTTAAAAAAATTTTAACTGGGCAAAACAATGTTACATTCATGTGAAAGAATAAACAGAAGAAAATAACTAGAAAATTAAAAAATATATATTACCAGACTTCACAAATATAAAGCTACAATGATTAAACTTTTGGTGTATATGTAAAAATGATTAGTGGGCTAGATTAATGAAACATAATAAAATTTACAATATGTTATTACTAAACTGTTTTTGTTATTATATCTCTTTATCATTTCTAAGTGTTTTGAAACAGTTTTTCTATTTGGTTTTATAAATGATATAATGAAATATTTTCTTGGCACAAAATCATAAATATGTTTCTAATATTAATCTGTGGCCCATTGAATAAATAATATAAATATTGATCTATACTCTCTTTGAACTAAATACTGTACCATCAGCCTTGTTTACATAACACATTTATCTGGAGCTATACTAACTTTAAAAATTTATTTTCTGGGATAAGAGATTTTTCCACAATAAACATAGGATGAGGTCTGTGTATAGAAAGTAGGAAAGGTCAATGTGTAGAAAGTCAGAGATAATGGAATGATGGGGAAGGATACTGGTCAAGGTGTCTCTTAATGTCCAGGCATATGTGACCCTTGGTTTCAGTCCCAAATGTGCAATTTTTACTATCTCTGTTTTCTTAGTATCTCTCATGTCTTTTTATGTTTACTGTAGTGTGTTAATACCTGAGTGATTGACAAAGTAAGTGTTGAATAAAAACCAACTTTCAATTTCTCTGCCTTCCTTTCCACATCACATTCCTCATCATCCTTCCCAGGTCCAGAACACTTCTAGGAAGTTTTATTTTTCTTATATGCTGAATAACTTGAGGACCCAAACTTGCAAATATGAAAACCTGAATTCTATTAATTCTATTAATTCATATTAGCCTAATTCATATTCACCTCTTCCTAGAAGCTGAATAACTTGAGAATCCAAACTTGCAAATATGAAAACCTGAATTCAGGTTTGTCTTTTCACTATAAATTAACTATTGTACATCCTGCACCTTTTATCACAGAAAATAAACTTTTAAAGTTAATATAGTAGTGGGGGTAGGCTAATATGCAAAGCAGTAAGTACAATAGTTAATTTATAGTGATCTTCCAAGAAAATAATGGTGCCTTTCCAAAAAAATGTGGATCTTAAGTCTCCTTATCTGATATAAAGACACTGTAAAAATACTTCTCCTCTTAACAACAACAACAAAATAATAATAATAAACAATATCCCAGATGGATGAAGCAGAGGCCAGTTCCTTCTACTGAATATAGCATTTACTCATATGAGCCAGGTGACACTGTAACCGCCCAATGGGCTCACCTTGTCCGCTGCCTAGACAGAGCCAATTTATGAAGAAAGAGGAATTGCAGTGGAGAAAGTAATTGGCGCAGAGCTGGCTGTGTGGGAGATTGAAGTTTTATTATTATTCACATCAGTCTCCCTGAATTCGGAGATCAGAGTTTTTAAAGATAATTTGGCGGGTAGGGGCTTGGGAAGTGGGGAGTGCTGATTGGTCAGGTTGGTGATGGAATCATCAGGGGTGGAAGTGAGTTTTTCCTGCTGTTTTCTGTTCCTGGGTGGGATGGCAGAACTGGTTTAGCCAGATTACCAGGCTGGGTGGTGTCAGCTGATCCATCGACTGCAGGGTCTGCAAAATATCCCAAGCACTGTTTTTAGGTTTGACAATAGTAATGTTATCCCCAGGAGCAATTTAAGGAGGTTCAGACTCTTGGAGGCAGAGGCTGCATGATCCTTAAATTGTAATTTCTAATCTTGTAGCTAATTTGTGAGTCCTGCAAAGGCAGATTGGTCCCCAGGCAAGAAGGGGGTCTTTTTGGGAAAGGGCTATTATCAATTTTGTTTCACAGTCAAACCATGAACTGAATTCCTTACCAAAGTTAGTTCTACCTACACCAAGGAATGAACAAGGACAGCTTAAAGGTTAGAAGCAAGACAGAATCAGTTAATTCTGATTTCTTTCACTGTCATTATTTCCTCAGTTATAATTTTGCAAAGGCGGTTTCAACACTACCTATCAGTACTTTTTCTTAGAGTTGTGACTTAATAAAAGAGTCTCAGGTTCACACACTTAAATGAAGAAGGCCCCAGGCTTCAGTTTCTAGGCCCTGGTACCAGTATTATCATTTGTCTTGAGGAAATCTTGGCCCATTGTATTTTCTTATTATTTATTGTATCAATAAGTATTATTAGGTTTAAGAGAAGAACAGAAAAACTAAAATAGCAGTGACTAAAAATGAGGTAGGAGTTTATTTTGTATCACATAAATGTCCAGGTAGAGAGTCCAAGACTGCCATTACCATCCACTGTCCGAGTCCCAGGCTCCTTCTCTCTTGTCTATCTGCCACAGATAGACTTAACTTAGGGCCTTAGCTGTTTCCACTTGCATACTACGCAGCAGAGGAAGGCAAACAGTAGAAAGAGGCAAGGAACACAGTCTTATGTCTCCTGAAGTTTCCAAGACTTGACCGCATGATGCTGCTGCTTCTAGTTCATTGACTGAGCTTAGTCAAATGGCTGTATCTATCTCAAAATAAGTCTGAGTTATAGTCACCTTGTCTTGTACTCAGTTAAATATATTGAGCTCCTACCACTATAGAAGAATGAAAAAAATGGATATTGATAGTAAGTTCACTTTGTCACACCCAATGACTTGTAAAAGCACACTGTGTCTGTTGTTATTTTGCCTTAGAGACACCTCCTATTTTCTGTGAGCACAAGCATGCTTTATAAAATGAGCTTGTTAACAAAAATTATAAAGGGTTTAAAGGTTTATGAGAATCTTACCTTGTGGTCAAACATTAAAGTTGGGTAGATATGTCTATGAGGTTTTATTAAGAATTGGGTTTAACATTAATACTATACTAATGTAAAAGTGAAATTTGGCTATTTGGTATAAAAATCATACAGAAAGCATTGTCAAGTATGAAATAGTATTTGGCTTTCTTTGGGCTGTATTTGTATAAACAGTTATTGGCAGGTGTTCCAAAATTACGAAAAATTCCTGTAATTCTGATATGACTTAGTGTATGTTGTTAATAATTATAATTGTTATGTAAAATTATTGCATACCACAGAAGTAACCAAAATTTCCTTATCAATTGTGGCTTTAATAATGGCTAAGACTTTTTATTATTCACAGACAATTGTTTTCTCACCAGCGCCAATAACAGTTTAAAAATGCCATGGCAACATCAGGAAGTTACCCTATATGGTCTAAAAAAAGGAGGCATGAATAACCCACCCCTTGTTTAGCATATAATCAAGAAATAACCATAAAAATGGGCAACCAGGCTGGTCGCGGTGGCTCATGCCTGTAATCCCAGCACTTTGGGAGGCCAAGGCTAGTGGATCACCTGAGATCAGGAGTTTGAGACCAGCCTGGCCAACATGGTGAAACACCGTCTCTACTAAAAAAAAATACAAAAATTAGCCAGGCGTAGCAGCAGGTGACTGTAATCCCAGTTAATCAGGAGCCTAAGGCAGAAGAATCACTTGAACCCGGGAGGTGGAGTTTGCAGTGAGCCGAGATTGTGCCACTGCACTCCAGCCTGAGCGACAGAGTGAGACTCCGTCTCGAAAAAAAAAAAAAAAAAAAGAAAGGACAACCAGCAGCCCTCTGAGCTGCTCTGTCTATGGAATAACTATTCTTTATTCTTTTACTTTCCTAAGAATTTATCTAGGATCAATTTGTATATAGGTAGAGAGCCTATCAAATTATTTAGGCAGGTATATAGAAGGAAACAAAAAACAAAATTTTTCATTTCTAAGTATTATTATTGATTAGAATACAATTTCCTTCATGTTCATCCAAATTGTGACTATATTTTCTACATTTATGCTTAAAAAATAATAGCCCCAATGACTGCTCATTGTTAGAAACAACCATAGTGTTTTCTAATGGAACATAGATGATTTCACAATAAATTAATGGACAAGGCTACTCTGAGACAAAGATGGGACCAAACCAAAACAACAGCTCTTCATAATCATGTTCAAGTGCAGGCAAAATGATAATATGTCTAAATCACAGACAAAATGTCCTCCTCTCCCAGTAACATAAGTAACTTCTGCTTTTTTGAGAATTACATTTTTTCTGCCTTCCTAACTTCTAGATAAAATTATTAAGATACTCATGTAACCACCTCTACTTTTCCTAAAATTCAGAACAAAATCATGCTTTATTGAATCTTCTCCAAATCCCTAAATATAAGCCCAAGCCTGTAAGAAGCCTGTATCTAAACCTTTCACTGAGAAGCTGTGTGCCAACACCTCCACATCCCATGCTCTACTTGCTCCCTTGTTTCAGTGAGCCAATAAGCTCACTTTTGGTTCAACTGCAGTGATTCTGCTTTCTTTGATTGAAAAGCATCAATATAAACAATGCTTCTGGACTTAATGATGGAATTACATTTCGATAAACCTCTTGTAAATTGGAAATATTGTAAATCAAAAGTGTTTTTTGATTTGTAAATAAAAAATCAATTTTGATTTGTACATCAAAATTATTTGTTGATATCAAAAACACTTTTGATTTATAATATTTTCAATTTATCACAAGTTTATCTGGATGTAATGCCATCTTCAGCCCAGGATTGTAGCAGATCTGCCCTTTCCACACCATTTGAAAGGAAATAAATTGTAAGTTGAACGATTATAAGTTGAGGGCTGTCTGCATTTGTAATTTTTGAAATGTCTAATCCATTAATTTTATTTTGATAGCTTCTGTGTTGTTTTATTTCACAGAGGTAATTAATTTCCAGTATTTGACAGATCTAAAAGCTAGCTATATATATTTATAACCATATTTTTGCAGTAGATTCCTATGGAAATATTTTATTTTTCACCAACTGAAATAAATGATGCTAATTGCTACTAGTTGGTAAATATTTTTCTTTAATTTTTAAAAAAATTTTTGTGGGTACATAGTGTGTGTTTATAAACATATACACATATGAGGTATATGAGATGTTTTGACACAGGCAATCCAATATGAAATAAGCACATCATGGAGAATGGAGTTTCCATGCTCTCAACCATTTGTCCTTTGAGTTACAAACAATCCAATTACAGTCTTTAAGTTTATTTTAAAATGCACAATTAAGTTATTGATTATAGTCACCCTATTGTGCTATCAAATAGTAGGTCTTATTTATTCTTTCTAAATATTTTTTTTTTGGTACTCATTAACCACCCCCACCTGACTTCAGTCCCTCACTACCCTTCTCAGCTTCTGTTAATCATCTTTCTACTCTCTCTGTCCATGCATTCAATCGTTTTGATTTTTAGATCCCACAAATCAGTGAGAACATGCAATGTCTGTCTTTCTGTGCCTGGCTTATTTCATGTAACACAGTGAACTCCAGTTCCCTCCATGTTGCAAATGACTCGATCACATTGTTTTTTATGGATTAGTAGCATTCCATTGTGTATGTGTACCACATTTTCTTTATCCATTCATCTGTCGATGGATATTTAGGTTGCTTCCAAATCTTAGTTATTGTAAATAGTATTGCAACAAATATAGGAGTGCAGATATCTCTTCAATCTACTGATTGCCTTTTTGGGGGGTATCTACCTAGCAGTGGAATTGCTGGTTCATACGGTAGCTCAACTTTTTAGTGTTTTGAGGAACCTCCAAACTCTTCTCTATCGTGGTTGTACTGACTTATATTCCCACCAACAGTATATAAGAGTTCCCTTTTCTCCACATCCCCAGCATTTGCTATTGCCTGTCTTTTGGATAGAAGCCATTTTAACTGGAGTGAGATGATAGATCATTATACTTTTTATTTGTATTTCTCTGATGATCAATGATGTTGAGTACCTTTTCATATGCCAGTTTGCTATTTGCATATCTTCTTTTGAGAAATGTCTATTAAAATCTTTTGCCCATTTTTTGATCAAATTGTTAGACTTTTTTTTTTTTTTACTATAGTGTAACTTGAGCTCTTTATGTGTTCTGGTTATTAATCTCCTGTCAGATGATAGCTTGCAAATATTTTCTCCCATTCTTTGGGCTTTCTCTTCACTTTGTTGATTGTATCCTTTGCTGTGCAGAAGCCTTTAACTTGATGTGAGGATCCTATTTGTCCATTTGTACTTCGATTGCTTGTGCTTGTGGGGTATTGCTCAAGAAATCTTTGATCAAACAAATGTCCTGGAGATTTCTCCAAAGTTTTCTTGTAGTAGTTTCACAGTTTGTGGTCTTAGATTTAACTTTTTAATTCATTTTGATTTGACTTCTGTATATGGCAAGAGAGAAGTGTCTAGTTTCATTCTTCTGCATATGAATGTCCAGTTTTCCCAGCATGAGATTGTCTTTTCACTGGTGTATGTTCTTGGCACCTTAGTCAAGAATGAGTTCACTGTAGGTGTGTGGATTTCTTTCTGGGTTCTTTATTCTATTTCATTGTTTTATGTGTCTGTTTTTATGCCAGTACCATGCTGTTTAGATTACTATAACTCTGTAGAATAATTTGAAGTCAGATGATGTGATTCCTCCAGTTTTGTTCTTGTTGCTTAGGATAGCTTTGGCTATTCTGGGTCTTTTATGGTTTGGTATAAATTTTAGATTTGTTTTTCCTATTTCTGTGAAGAATGTCATTGGCAGTTTGATAGGAATTGCATTGAATCTGCACATTGCTGTAGTTAGTATAAACATTTTAACAATGATGATTCTTCCAATCCATGGACATAAAATACGTTCCCATTTTAATTGTCTTCTTCAATTTCTTTCATGAACTATTTTCCATTTTGTGATTCCTTTCAATTTCTTTTATAGTTTTCATTATAGATAACTTTCATGTTTTTGGTTAATTCCTAGGTGTCTAATTTTTATGTGTGACTATTATTAATAAAATTACTTTTTTACATTTCTTTTTCACATTATTTACTGTTGGCATATAGTAATGCTACTGATTATTGTCTGCATATTTTGTATTGTGCAACTTACTGAAATTTGTTTGTCAGTCCTAACAGTTTTCTTGTGGATTCTTTAGGTTTATACAAATATAAAATCATATTATCTGCAAACAAGGATAATTTGACTTCTTCCTTTCTAATTTGGATGCCCAGTATTTCTTTCTCTTGTCTGATCGCTCTAGGTAGGACTTCCAGCACTATATTGAATAACAACGGTGTTGGTGGGCATTCTCTTCATGTTCTAGATTACAGAGGAAAGGCTTTCAGTTTTTCCCCATTCAGTATGATACTAGCTGTGTGTCTATTGCATATGGCTATTATTATGTCAAGGTATGTTCCTTCTATGCCCAATTTTTTGAGTGTTTTTATCATGAAAGAAAGTTGAATTTTATCAAATCCTTTTTCAGCAGCAATTGAAATGCTTTTTATCCCTCATTTTGTTGAAATGATGTATCCCATTGATTTGCATATTTTGAACCTTTCTTGCATTCCAGGGATAAATCCCACTTGGTCATGATGAATGGTCTTTCTAATGTATGGTTGAATTCGGTTTCTAGTATATCATTGAGGATTTTTGCATCAACATTCACCAGAGATATTGGCTTGTAGTTTTCTTTGTGTCCTTTTTCACTCAGAAGAGAGGTAAGAAAGAAAATTAGACCTAAACCAGAATTACAGTCAGGAGTAAAAATATTGGCTCTTAGTTGCCACTGGTGCTGGATATTAAGTAATGAGGCTCTGAGAGCAGTAATGAGAAGAAAAGATCTTTTTATTAGTTCATTTAACTGATTAGTGACAAGTTGCAAGTAACACATAATAAAACTCTAGAGCTGCAAGATTTAGCGGTGGAGAAAAGGTAAAGAGAGACATTGACATGAACAAAAATACTTTACTTCATTTTCTGGGCACCATGTAAACCTCCCAGAGACATTGACATGAACAAAAATACTTTACTTCATTTTCTGGGCACCATGTAAACCTCCCAGTTTCTTGTGCTACCGTCAAGAATCAGAGCCCAACAAACTGAATGAAATATTCAAGCTGTGTTATTTTTAAATAATTTTCTTTATGGAGCATAACATAGAGAATTGCACAAATCATATTCTTCAATGACTGACAAAATACAGAAAGTGCATGGCTTGAAGAATTTTCAAAAATTAACATGATTGTGTAACCACAATTCAAATCATGGAATACAATATTATCTACATCCTAAAGGCCTCTTACGTTGTCTCTCCTTCTGGTGATTGTGTCTCTCTCTTCCACAGAGTTAAAGATCACACTCACTATTTTTTTTTTTTTTTTTTTTTTTTTTGAAACGGAGTTTTGCTGTTTCTCAGGCTGGAGTGCAGTGGCGAAGATCACACTCACACTCTTTTTTTTTTTTTTTTTTTTTGAGACGGAGTTTTGCTGTTTCCCAGGTTGGAGTGCAGTGGCGAAGATCACTGTCACTTTTTTTTTTTTTTTTTCTGAGACGGAGTTTTGCTCTTTTTGCCCAGGCTGGAGTACAGTGGCGCAATCTCAGCTCACTGCAACCACTGCCTCCCAGGTTCACAGTAGCTCCTCCTGAGTATCTGGGATTACAGGCCCCCACAACCATGCCCGGCTAATTTTCGTATATTTAGTAGAGATGGGGTTTCACCATGTTGGCCAGGATGGTCTTGAACTCCTGACCTCAGGTGATCCACCTGCCTCGGCTTCCCAAAGTGCTGGGATTACAAGCATGAGCCACCATGCCTGGGCGATCACTCTCACTTCTAACATCATTAATTAATGTTATCAGCTTTGGGAATCATAAAATAAGCAGTCATTTGTGTGTGGCTTCTTGTGTTTGGTATCACATCCAGGACATTCATCCATGTTGTGGCACACAGCAGCATTCTGTTCATTTTCACTGATGTTTAGCATACCATTTTACAAATATAAAAAAGGCATTTGTCCATTCTCTTGATGATAGCCTTTCACTTTGTTACCAGTTTTTGGAAATTTTAAATAATACTATACTTTTTTGTATTAGATATAAATAAAATCTTCATTTGCTCCAAATCCTCAGAAAAATTTAATATTGTCATTTGTTTTAATTTAAGCATTCTGGTAGGTATGTAGTGATGCCAAATGGTGGTTTTAATTTGTAATTTTTTGACGACTACTAAGGTTGAATATTATTTCTAGTAGCCAGCCATAGAGATTGATAACTTTTTTGTGAGATCCCTACTCGTATTTTATTTTATTGACTTGTCTTTTGCATATATTTAAGCATATATACACACACATATATGTATATACACATGACATATATATGAGAAAAAATATGTTAGAGAATGAATGACTTTTGATCTTACCAGATGCTTTTTTCTGAATGTGTCACAATGATCATACGATTTTCTTTTTTTATTCTTAATGTTGTAAATTAGAAAGGATAATTTTTTCTGTAAATGTTTGGAAACAATTGGTAAATTCATTTTGGCCTAGAGGAGTTTTCTTTAGGCAAAGATTTTTCTTTTAGATTTTCTTTATATATTTGTGTGAGTGTGTGTGTGTGTGTACGTGTGTGAGTGTTTATGTATATGTTTTCAGACTTTCATTATGTGTCCATGCCTGCTTGGGTAGGAGGTATTTTCTTCTAGGATTTTATTAATTAGTTATAAATTTTCAAAAGTATTGTTTTAAATTTACTCATAATATTCTATTATTATTATCATGTAAGTGTCTGTAGGCTTTGTAGAAATGTCCTTATCAATTCCTGATATGTGTAATTTTTTGTTTTACTCTTTTTTCTTATTAGTCTTACTAGATTTCTTTCAATTATCAAATAAGTATTATTCCCTTTATTTTGTTTGTATTGTGTATCATTAATTTTTGTTCCTATTTTTATTATTTCTATTTCTCTATTTTCTTTGGTTTACTTTGAATTTCTATCCATGATTCATTTTGACAGATGTTTAGTTCACTTAAGTTTTTAAAAAATCTTTCAGTATAAACATATATTTTTCTTGTCTACTGTCCTAGGTTTATCCACTACTATATTTAGTGTGCAATTTTATTTAATTTAAAATCACTTTCTCCTTTTTTAATGTGATTTCCTTTTTGACTCATGGATTATTTAGAAATGAGTCACTTAATTTATAAATGTATAAAAATTTTATTTTTTTATTATGAATGTCTATCTTCTTACTATTATCAGAGAACATATTTCATTTATTGTAATTCTATGACAAAAGTAATATTTGCTTTATGGCAGCACACATGGCCAATTTGGTAAATGTATCATATACACTCAAAGAAAGTTGAATTCTCCAGTTTTAATGTAATATTATATCAATGTCAATTAGATAAAGTTGCAAATGTTATTTTTCAAATATACTATATCCTTCACGAATATTTTGGTCTACTTTTTCTATACCTTACTGAGAGATATGTGTGAAAATTTATGAGTATAATTGGAGATTTGCTCTTTCCTCCTTTTATTAATATCCATCTGTTTTATGCATTTTGAGACCATGCTAAGAACTGAATCCATATTTAGATTCATAAAATTTTCCTGGGGATGGACATGTTTATCATTATGAAATACACTTATTCATCTTAGCTATCGTTCTTATATTAAATTCTACTTTTCATATTACATTGCAGGTATTCCAGCCTTCTTTTGGTTAATATTTGTCTGCTATAATTTCTTCCATCCTTTCAATTCAGCTTTACAGTGCAAATATGTTCAACTCTGTATCTCAAAAAGAGCATAAAATTAGATATTTTTAATACAATTATAAATTTGGAAATTACTTAGTCTACTACTTTTTAATGTAGTTACTGATATATGTGGTTTTAAATATGCCACTTATTAATATATTTAAAAATAATGTTGTCCTATATCTCTATGTTCTTCCTTCTTTTTTGGCTTTTGTGTTAACCAATATTTTATTGTTATTATTATGGTATTATTTTCCATTTCTCTATTTTTATTGCATCTTTAGTTATATATTTTTCTATTAGCTAGAATAACTTTTAGATTAAGTCATATTTAAATAAGTAAAGAAAGCACCTTGGCATGTTTTCTAATTTAAATTATTACTTTATCATTTATTTTCAAATACAAAGACCTTATTAATTATATTTATCCTTTCTGCCTTTTATGTGATTTTGTCAAGTATTGTAATTCTTCATATATTTAAATCCTATTATTTGATAATCATCTTGATTTACTTGCATATGCACTTTTCCTTAGATGTATTAGATGCTGTGTTGCCTGCTGTGATAATTAATTTTATGCATCAATGTGACTAAGCCACAGAATACTCAGAAATTTGGCAGACATTATCCACAATGTGTCTGTGAGGGTGTTCTGGATCAGATTAACACTTTCAATCAATTGAAGACCTGAATGTAACAAAAAGACTGGGTAAAAAGGTACTCCTTTCTGTCTGACTACCTCGAACTGGGACATCAGTCTTTTCCTGTCTTCTAATTTGAATGGAAACATCAACATTTCCTGGGTCTCAAGCCTGCTGACTTTTGACCTAGAATCACACCATCAGCTGTCCCGTTTTTCAAGCTTTTGGACTCAAACTAGAACTTGTACCATTGGATCTCCTGGTTGGCAGGTCTTTGGATTCAGACTGATGTTACACCAGATTGTGGGACTTCTCAGCTTTTATAATGATGTGAGCCAACTCCTTATAATACATATGTCATATGAGAAAAATTTATTATAAGGAGTTGGCTGACACGATATGAGGGAACTTCAATAATTCATTAAAAATTCAAAGACAAAAATAAAGCATATCAACTTTATTGCTCAAACAAGCTCCAGCAAGTTCCAGACACTATTTTAAGCGATTATACCAGCCATTTAGTCCATCCCTGAAGAACTAAGGCTCCTGGGAACTTAACCACATAAATACAGTCTTTTTTACTTTATTACCTAAAGTAAAAATGGGTACCCGTTAAAGATTTTTTTTAAGATTAAGAAACAAAAAGGAGTCAGAAAGGGCTAAATTGACTGTATGGTAGATGCCTAATGACTTCCCATCAAAACACTTATAAAAATGCCCCTTTCTGATGATAGAAATGAGCAGAAGCATTATCATAGTAGAGGACTCTCTGGTGAAGCTTTCACAGGTGTTTTTCTGTTAAAACTTTCCCTTTCTCAAAGCACTCTCACAATAAGCAGATGTTATTATTCATTGTCTCTCCAGAAAGCCAATAAATATTGGATATTCTCTTGGAATAAGAAAGCTGAGGAAAGTAGATTGGGGAGGGGCCAAAAGCAAAAAGAGCACATAGTCTTTGATGGAGACTAGCTTTAATCTGATCTCACTTTGCGCCCTAATCTGAGGCAAAAAATATACACCAAATTGTCCTCTCCTCGAGGCAAGGGGTCCAGCTAGTTTTGAGGAATGCTCAAGCAAAATGCCTTGAGGATTCCCCAAAACTGTTGCCATGACCTTTGCTCATGATAGCATTTGCTTTGTTTTGCTCATGCTACTATTGCTTTGACTGGATCACTTCCAACTCTTGATAGCCATTGCTATGTGCATTGTCTTCAGGATTGTACTGGTAAAGCCATGTTTTATTTCCTGTTACAATTATACAAATAAATGCTTCAGGATCTTGATCCTACTTGCTTAAAATTTCCATTGAAAGCTCTGCTCTTCTCTGCAGCCAATCTGGGTACAACAATTTTGGCACTCATCAAGTGGAAAGTTTGCTTAACTTCAGTTTTTCAGTCAGAATTGTGTAGGTTGAATCAATTGAGATGCCTCTGATATTGGCTATTGTTTCTGCTGTTAATAATTAGTCTTCCTCAGTTATGGCATAAACAAAATTAATTTCTTTTTCACAAATTGATGTGAATGATCTATTGCTGCAGGCTTCATCTTTAACACCATTTTGTCTCCCTTAAAATGAATTATCCATTTGTAAGCTGCTGCTGATTTCTTTAGGTCATTGTTTCCATAAACTTTTCATAAAGGATTAATGATTTCACCATTCTTCCACCCAAGCTTCACCATAAAATTGATGTTTGTTTTTGCTTCAATTTTTGCAAAATTCATATGCTGATAGAGCCTCTTTTCAGACTGATGTCTTACCCTTCTTAGTGCCTCACACTAGATCTTGTTCAGATGTGTTATAACAAGTTAGTACAAATCTACTTTGGTGCAAAAATATTTTGAAATCCATGCATAGTTTTTAAAAAATATGCATTTTTCATAAAATTTTTGAAGATCTCTCGTGTGTGTGTATGTGTGTGTACCATATATATATATATATAAACACAGGCATATATAAGACATTTATTATACAGAATTAGTTCACACGATATATCTATATTACTAGATAGGTAGGAATACATATTTTTCCTATTGGTTCTGTTTCTCTGAAAAACTCTAACTAATATACCCACCCAGCTCATTTTTACTGGCATGTACACTCCTACAGCTCACAGCTTTATCCTTTATCTGCAGAATTTTTGTTGACCAGATAGAACCATCTACTCAGGGAATTTCTGTCCAACTCCCCCATCCTCATCCTTATCTTTGACAATCAGCTGACAGTTAACTGACATATTAATACCAATAGCTGAACCCCTTTCCTTGAGGGGGGCCGGTTTGATGTATAGTTGTGATTCAGTTTATCCCAATGAGATCAGATTAAAGCTAGTTTCCATCAGAGACTATGCGCTTTCTTTGCTTTTGGCCCCTGCCCGATGCACTTCTCTTATACCAATTTCAGAGCTTTCATAGAGAAGAGATTGGACTGTTAGACTTGGACTGGAGATATATGAATAGGGTCATTTGAGAATATTGAATCCTCAAGTTCCCCTGAATTCTCTGAGCCTATATTCTTAATTTCTTGTGTTTCTAATGTCTATTAATTTGTATTGTAACGTTAGAATTTGTACTTGATTCTATTTTATTGACCAACTTCCCTGCTGGAATTCCCTTTTATTTGTTTTCTTGAAAATGCTAGTATTATTTATATTAAATTTGTGTTTGTTAACTGCAATCTATAATTTTTCTGAGGGTCTGTTTCTGTTATCTATTTACTTTCTCTTGCTTTTGGTCCTTTATGACTGATAATTTGTAATTAAGTGCTTGGCATTATGTATGAAAAACTCCATTAGGGTAATTTTGATCAAGAGATCAAAAGGAAGGGATAAAAAAGCCACAAAATGGCCTCTATAAAAAACATATTAGAGAGGCTTTTGTAAAGATGTTTGTCATAACAATGAATAAAAGAAGTCTAGCTGTGAACAAAGATGATGTTGAGGTCCAAAGAAAATTACCAGACACCTAAACTAGTCATTGAAGGGTTGGGAAGAAGTATTGAAAGTAGATAACTGCAAAAAAAAAAAATAGTAATTTTGTGGTTTGTGATAGCAGTGAATAGCTGATAACTACAATTCTATCAAGGCTTTGTAGAGCAGTCCCACACCACAAATACATTCAGGGGCTATGTAGGAAGTAACATGACAGATTTCACTCAGCAATGTAGGCAGACTCTAAGTATAGGGTTTGTTGTTTGTCACAGCAGGAGAATGGAGCCTTAGGTAGTTCTGCCGAGCCCCACTCATTATAGTGATGGCCACTCTGTTGAGATTAATTTAAAAGCCATTTTTAAGGGATTCCTATAGTGATGGGATTTGCTGTCTATTTCTTGAAACCAAAAACAATCTTTAATTTTTTTCTGTGTACTCTTTCTAACTGGTATTATTTGACAACTCTGAGCCAAACAATAAAATAACAGCAGTTTAAGACAATGTGTATGCATATATATATAGCATCCATGTGGTTATTCTTAGTTTTTTTACACACACATATTAATATATATGTATAGTATGTATGTTATATATGTATAAATCTGTGTCTGTGCATGTGTGCATATACAGGGACATATATATGCACACACACACATATATGCATATATAATGGTAAGCATCTTACAACAACCTACCATCTTAACAAACAAATAACTATTCAGCCCAAAATTTGAGACTGAGTAATCATGCAATGGATAAATAGATAAACCACCTGTCATCAGACATCACAACTGCATGTGATTCCTTTATTGTTAAAATTTTAACATATATGTTGGGCAACAAATACTGATTGACTGACTGCTGTATAACATACACTATCCTTTATTTTTATTTGTTTATATTTGAGACAGGGTCTTACCCTGTTACCCAGGCTGGAGTGCAGTGGCACGATCAGAGTTCAATGAAACTTTAAACTCTTGGGTTCGAGTGATCCTTGGGTTCAAGTGAACCCTTCTCAACCTCCCAAGTAGCTAGGACTACAGGGACACATCACCATGCTTGGCTTCTTTTTTTTTTTTTTTTTTTGTAGAGACAGAGGTCTCTCTACATTGCCCAGTCTGGCCTCAAGCAATCCCCCTGCTGCCGCCTCCTAAAGAACTAAGATTATGAGCATAAGCTACCATGCTGAGTCTTATACTGTCCTTTAAAATGAGGATAGAACCAGCACTACCCCAAATCAAACAGTAACTATATACAAATTGAGACACATTGCTGTCATCTTCCAGAATGTGTTGGTAATAATTTAAAAAATTTAGGATGATTCTAATGTTAATGTTACCCCTTAGAAAAGTGAGATGCAGAAGCTGTAAAAGCTATATGCTTAAGCCCTTATAGAATGACTAACTCATCCCAATTTTCCAAGGACATTTCCTGTTTTAGCACTGAAAACCCCACATCCAGGGAACTGTGTAGTTCTAGGCCAACCAGGATGGTTGGTCACCCTGCTGGAAATAGTGGTGAAAAAGATAAAGCTCCTTTCTATAAACCTTACATTTAAGTTTTCAAAACCAACAATTAAATATAAATGAATATGTAAAATGCATGGTTCAAAGTACAGATAAATGAATTATGTATTGAAAAAGATCAAAATTCAGGATAACGCAAGATTTTGGTTTTAGCAATAGGGAGTGCTAACTTTGGTTGAGATTAAGAGAAGAAACAAGTAATAATTCCATTTTGATTAAATGTCTAAACCAGTGTCTCAAGTCAGCCTCAATAAAGAACGTAGTGCATTAGAAAAGCACAAAAGACTTCATTCTATTTTCAGATTTGCCAATAGTCAGCTGTGTGACCCTGAATAAGCCACTTAACTTTCCTGAGTCTGAATTTCTTCACCGTAAATTATAGAAAATGGGCAATATAATCTTTGTGGTTTTTTCTCAGTCTAAAATTCTAAAATAACCTTCCCAATCAAGATTTAAATTTTTCCAACTTTATCTTGAGACATAATAAACGTCATGTTGCCTGTTTCTGTCGAGTTGCTACTCAAACCGTTAATAAGTAGAAAAAATTGGCCTTTTGCCTTTTGGATAATGTTACTTATTGTTCATCAGAAGTTGCATGGTGAATAGAAATTTATTGTTATGTCACATTTTATTTGCTGGGAAGGAATATTAGCTAATAATGGAACTGTTTACAGCACAATGCATTTGTACAAAAGAGTTTGCCTTCTGCACAAAGCTGATGAGGGATTTTTGAACTAGTTCATTTCCTCCTTATGACTTCTTAAAAAAGGCTTTCCACTTGCTGGGCAATCATTTAAAGAGCAAAGTTATAGTTTATATCCCTTGTGGCGTATATTGAGGGGGCAAAGACTTTCTCAGTGGTGGGATATTTAAGGCCATTTTATACTGCATGATCATAAGCAATTATCTCCCCAGTGACTGCTCTTCCAGGGATTTTTTCACTATGCAGACTTATTAAGCCCATGAGCTTTTGAATCCAATAATCTGGTTTGAAACCAGTTCTGTTACTTACTCATTTTGACACTGTAGACAGGCTATTTATTTACTCTTTTTATAAAACAGATAATATTTCCCGTATCACAGAGTTATTTGAAGCTTAAGTGTGATAATATAGATAAAATGCTAAGTATGGTACTTGAAACATACTAGCTGTCCAATAAATGTTTGCTCGAACTATGATAATTTTAAGATCCAAAACAAGTCCTATAGATAAATTAATAATAAAGCAGTGGATTGCCATTTGGCACTACTGAGCAATCTTTTAATATACCTAAGCCAATTTTATCTATTATGCGAGGTATTTATAAGTGTCATAAATTTCATCATGGTCAGTAAATTGGACCTTGGATTTCACCTATTTCAGATCATAGCTGACTCTTCTAAGTGTTCATAGATGCACACAACGAAGTACCTACTTCGTTGTACATTGAGTACATTGTACATGGGAGTAAGTGTACATTAAGTAAACATTAAGTGGATGCTAGAACCATAAAATACGTAAACTTTAGATATGAGTTTAACCTAAATAGTTGACATGAAATATAAAATAGAATAGTTTTTAGAAAAAAAATGGGGCTGTCATAGAATATAAGTAAAATCGATTCTTTTATCTTTTTTTTTTTTTTTTTTTTTTTGAGACGGAGTCTCGCTCTGTCGCCCAGGCTGGAGTGCAGTGGCGGGATCTCGGCTCACTGCAAGCTCCGCCTCCCGGGTTCACGCCATTCTCCTGCCTCAGCCTCCCAAGTAGCTGGGACGACAGGCGCCCGCCACTACGCCCGGCTAATTTTTTTTGTATTTTTAGTAGAGACGGGGTTTCACCGTTTTAGCCGGGATGGTCTCGATCTCCTGACCTCGTGATCCGCCCGCCTCGGCCTCCCAAAGTGCTGGGATTACAGGCGTGAGCCACCGCGCCCGGCCGATTCTTTTATCTTTATTTTAATTATGCTAACAAAAGTGTTGTTCCTCAGAAGGAAATTATTTTTACATGCGTCAATTGATTTTATAAAGGAGATAAGTAGTTTTCAAAACACAAGCTCAAAATCAACATCTTAAACTTTATAAGAGCTTTGCCTTATCTAAGTTTGAAGATTATTGTCTTATAGGCACAAATAATGATTAAATGCAAATGAAATAACTCAAAATTTCTTTTATGATACAGAGTAGAATGCACACAAATTAGTTTATATTTTATATTGTTTACAGGTTGGGTAGAAAAGAAAGTGAAATTTTGAAAATTTAACATCTAAATTTGTGTTTTAAAGAGGTTTAGCTCTCCATGACCCAATGGTATTGCTTAAGTCTTCAAGTCATCACTAACTTTTCCTATTTCAACAATACAAGATTTAGAGTGCATTCATATCATATTGCTATTCCAGGAAGCAAGATATTTTATGATCACATAAATGCCTCATTTCCAGAAAATATGTAGAATACCTTTAGAAAATAATTGCTCTAGGTCTCAGTAGAATAATTGAACAATGGAAGAAAGGTTACATGGAACAATGGAAAATAAAAAAATAATTTAAAGTTTTTATATTGTTAATTTTTTTTCTATGTGTTAATAGATAAAAGAGTCTACTCCATTCTTTTTTTTCTGATCCTTAGAAATTTCCAACATTTTACTTTTCTTCTACAGAAGGCACATATTTATTAGTGTTTTCATCATTTAAAAAATGGTATGTAACCTCTTGGAAAGTTGTCACTAAAGAGAAATTGTTGGTACATATGAAGGAAATATAGTGGTATTCAAGGAAAGAAAAACTGTATCCTTATTATGCTTATAGCTTTATCAACTTTTAAAGGATTACCATGTCTTCTCAATAAAGTTCTTCAGATACAGATAATTTCTGTGCGAATAGGATATCCCTTTACAATTATTCTTGGGATTTCTTGATACCTTTTACTCATGCATATGAGAGAAAGGGCTGTTAGATTTTTGTCAGTTGTGCTTTAGGTAATATCACACATAGAATTCGATTAAGTGATCAGCACCTGAAAAAATAAAAAAAAATGTACAAATATAAATAATTACACCTGCGATTAGATTGACATTGGTAATGCATATCATTATTTATCTATTCTTTCAAATACGGTAATAGTGGTAAAGAAATGAAGAAGACAGCGCTGTCCTTGAAAATATTTCAGCTTAGTACAAGTTTTATTAACTCTTAAGGCAAGCATATATATCAAAACAATCTTTATATTCAATATATAATATTCTGCATATACATATATTCCCTTTATATGTATTATATACTTACATATTTTATGTTTAATAGGATAGTATGTAAAATATCTAAATTTTACATATATGTATTTTTGACATTTCATAATTTATAAAACATTTGTTACATGTCAGGAATATGACGTACTGACACTGTTGTAACAATCATAACATTAAATGGCATATATTACTATCTTGATTTCTTTTGAGATTTAAAAAATGGGATTTTTAGGAAGCCTAGAAAATTCCCAAGTGCACTTCTTGTAGAAATATGTTACGGTTTCCTGATTTTGAAGCACTATACTCTGTTATCTTATGCTATATTATTAAGAATTAAATGGCTATATTTGAAGTTTGGCTTATGACAATAGTATCCAGACCTGGAACTTTATCAAAATCACCTGGGGACCTATTAAATATACATTTTCTCTTACACCAATTCAGTTTTAATAAACTCTGACTGTGGAATCATAGAATATGCAATTTTAAAAGGCTCCCCAGGTGACTGTGATGTACTGATAAGTGTGAAAACCCCTCAGTCTTACTTTTTCGAACTCTAATTATCATATTCCATTCAAAATTTGGCACCTCAATATATTAAGTTACACATACATATAGTCTCAGTAAGAACATTGAGGCCAGGTGTGGTGGTTCACGCCTGTAATCCCAGCACTTTGGGAGGCCAAGGAGGGTGGATCACGAGGTCAGGAGTTCAAGACCAGCCTGGCCAACATTGTGAAATCCCGTCTCTACTAAAAATACAAAAATTAGCTGCACATGGTGGTGGGTGCCTGTAATTCCAGCTACTCGGGAGGCTGAGGTAGATAATTGCTTGAACCTGGGAGGCGGAGGTTGCAGTGAGCCGAGATTGCGCCACTGCACTCCAGCCTGGGCGACAGAGCTAGACTCTGTCTCAAAATGGCTCACGCCTGTAATCCCAGCACTTTGGGAGGCTGAGGTGGGTGGATCACGAGGTCAAGAGATGGAGACCATCCTGGCCAACATGGTGAAACCCCATCTCTACTAAAAATACAAAAATTAGCTGGGTGTGGTGGTGCACACTGTATTCCCAGCTACTCGGGAGGCTGAGGCAGGAGAATTGCTTGAATCCAAGAGGTGGAGGTTGCAGTGAGCCGACATCACACCACTGCACTGCCAATAGAGAGAGACTCCGTCAAAAAAAACAACAACATTGAAATTGAAACAGTGTTCACAGCATATATGCTTTTTAAATCTACAATGTAGTATGGTGATAGTGACCAAAAAAATTCAAGGAATTTTTTTTTTCTGACTTCATTGACAGTTTCCTGCTAATAAGAAAAAATAGGGATGTCCAAGAAAAACACCACTAGGATTTTCATTAGGCAAAGACTCAAATGATGTTATTTTATTTTAAATGCAGCATACTATCAGTTTCATTTCCATATTACAAAGACAACATCTACTGTACATAAAGAAATATTAGTGGACTGAAATATAAAGTAAAAATCTGAGACAGGATTACATTTTCATTAAAGAGAAATTATTTTTCCCTTTTTATGGACTTACCTACTTTTTAAAAAGTTTCTTTCTTTTTTACTGTTTCAATGAAATAGTTTCACATTATCTGAAATGTTGTAGAAATAATCCAAAGATTTCCCATATATTCTTCACCTAACTTTCCCAAATGCAAATCACTTACATAGCAATGCACAATTATCAAAACTAAGAGATCAAGGTCACTACAATATTATTAACTAAACTATTTTATTTTGATTTCAGCATTTTTTTTTTTTTTTTACTGAAATACTTTTTATGTTTCAGGATCAAATCAAGACCAACTGTATTGTTTAGATTTTATGTCCGCTTAGTGTTCCCCATTCAATGAATGTTCCGTAATGTTTACTAGTTGTTCTTTTTCTTGATACTTTTGAAGAGTATTGGCCAATTATTTTGGTAAACATTTTTCAATTTTAGTTTATTTTTATGGTGCAGTCATGTGCCACATAATAAAATTTTGGTCAACAACAGACTGCATATACAACAATGGACAGTGTTCCAATAAGATTATAATGAAGCTGCCCTATATAGGTGTACTGTTTAATTTTTCCACTGTATTTTTACCATACCTTTAAATTTTAGGTATATATAGATAGATACATACTTCCATTGTGTTACAGTTGCCTACAGTATTCATCACAGTATCATGCTGTGCAGGTTAGTAGCCTGCAGCAATAGGCTTTACCATATATCATAGGTGTGTAGTAGGCTATACCATCTAGAGTTGTGTAAGCATGCTCCTTGATGTTCACAGGATGAAAATCTACCAGTGGATGTCTCAAAATGTATCTTGATTGTGAATGCCTGACTGTGTATCTTTTTCATCCTTTTAAATTTAAGCTATATGTATTTTTATATGTTTAATTGGTTTCTTATATATAACATACAGTTGGGTCTTGCTTTGAAAGATGGAAAATTTCTTTTAATTGGTACGTTGGATTACTTATCCTTTAATTTGTTAATAAATAGTTTAAATCTATCATCTTTTGAATTTCTTGTGAGACAGTTTCAATGTTTGTGCTGGTCAAGAAAAATAGACTTGAGTCTATTATTTCTGAGGATAACTGTGACTCTTAGAAAAGGTTGTTTTATTCTGTATTTTGTAAGTCTCTCTCTATTTTGTTTGTTTGTTTTTGTTTTTTTACTGATAGCCAGACATCTTCTAGAGGAGAGTAGAAATTGAGGATAAATACATAGTTTTTATGCCTGGAAATGAACACTTCTTTTCTTCTAGGCCTCTAGGATATGGATTTGTACTAATCTAGTTAACAGTTATTATCATTGTTTTAAGCAATCAGATACATATTTTTAAATGCACAAATGAGAAAAAATATTTTTATATTTACATTAAATGTGTAATTTCCTGTGTTCTTCACTCCATTATGTAGATTCAGTTTTCCATCTGAGATCATTTACCTGTCACCTAAAAAATAAATTTAACATTTCTTATAGTGCCAATCTACTGGCAATAGATTTTCTCACCTTCTATTTGTCTGAAGAAGTCTTTATTTCAAGACCTTTAGTTTTTGAAGATATTTTTTCTGAATTTAGAAATATAAGTCGAATTTTTTCTTCTACTACTTTAAAGACGCTTTTCTATTGACTTCACATGTCTATATTTTACCATAAATTGCTGACATTATCTTTTTTCCTTTGAGTGAAATGTTATCTGTTTTCATTGGTTCTCTATAAAATTTTCTTTTTCACTGGTTTTATGCAATTTAATTATGTGTCTTGTCATCATTTTCTTTGTTTTTATCCTTCTTATGGTTCATTAAAGTTTTTTTTTTGAATCTGTGGATTCATAGTTTTCATCAAAATTGAAAATATTTGAATATGATTTCTTCAAATATTTTATTCTTTCCTTCCGTCTGCTCCCTCTTCTATTTGAACTCCTAATCTATGTGAGAAACTTAATATCATTCCACCAGTCACAGAGGTTTGTTTTCCATTTCAATATTTTCTCTTTCTGTGCTTATTTTTGATATTTCTTGTTATGTCTTAAATGCCACCGATTTTTTTTTCCAAAGTGTCTAATCTGCCCTAATCTTTTCCAGTAACTCTTTCAGTTCAATATTGCATTTTTTATCATTACAAGTTCCTTTGGTTATTTTGATTACTTCCATTTTATAATTATCTTCATTTATTTTCTTTTGAATATTTAAATGTATATTTAAATATTTATAAATGTAATATAATACATAAAATATTGTATATGCACACAATAAGTCTGCACTTAAGGTAGTTGATAGGTTCTTGGAAACTGCAAATTTAAGTGAAACTATATGTAACAAAAACATTTTTCTTCTCACTGATGTTATGACAAAATTACATTAAATGAAATTACATTATTAGAAAATCTGCTGTATGTTATTTCTCTTAAAGCTGCAGTTGTCAAGAACTAATGAATGATGTCAAATAAGAATTTATCGTGACATATTTAAAATAGTTTTAAAAAACCTTTTTTCCCTAAATTAATTTCCTTCACTGGTGCTATGTCCCATAAATTATAGCCCCTCTCTGCCTCCCCAAACACCAGTGTCTTTCTGCTCAACATAGCTGAAATATCATGCTCTATTTGAGTTCCCATTTTCTGCCGTGATGTCTGGAAACTGCCTTGTAGCAGAAAGCCATAGTTCTCACAGGGATAACCTTATTTCTATTTTTTTCCTCATGAATCATTACTCTGTACTACCTGTTGCCTAATATCTGAGGACAGTTATTCCATATAATGTGTCCAATTCTCTAGTGGTTTATAGTGAGAAAAGTCTCATCAGAACTGAGTTATTACTTCACCAGTGGAGGTAAAAACCTATAACTTTTTATTAAGTGTATTCATAATTTTACTAAAAAGGTTGGCAGAGCACTTAAATTTTCCTAATCATGTTTTTAAAAGCATACGCGCTGGGCACGGTGGCTCACGCCTGTAATCCCAGCACTTTGGGAGGCTGAGACGGGCGGATCATGAGGTCAGGAGATTGAGATCATCCTGGCTAACATGGTGAAACCCCGTCTCTACTAAAAATATATATATAAAAAAACAAAATTAGCCGGCCGTGGTGGTGGGCGCCTGTAGTCCCAGCTCCTCGGGAGGCTGAGGCAGGAGAATGGCGTCAAGCCGGGAGGCGGAGCTTGCAGTGAGCCGAGATTGGGCCACTGCACTCCAGCCTGGGTGACAGAGCGAGTCTCCATCTCAACAACAACAACAACAACAAAAGAATACACTTATTTTTATTCTTGTAACCATACTTGTTTGTTATTTTCTTTTTTTTTTTTTTTTTGAGACGGAGTTTCTCCCTGTCATGCAGGGTGGAGTGCAGTGGCACAATCTCCGCGCACTGCAACCTCCGCCTCCTGGGTTCAAGCAATTCTCCTGCCTCAGCCTCCCAAGTATAGCTGAGATTACACGCGCATGTCAACATGCCTGCCTAATTTTGTGTTACTTCCTCAGAGAGGTAATCTCTGATGATTTATCTAAAACAGGTAGACCCTCGTGTTATTCTTTATTTTCTTCAGAGTGCTTAGTCCCATCTAATTAGTCCCAAATTAGTTTGTCTCTAATTTTTTATTGTTAGAGCTCCAGCCTATAGAACAAGGCCTGGTATATCATATATGCTCAGATATCTGTTAGCTGCCATAAAGATATTATGGTAGCCTGATAATGAAAATAAATGTTTTATGAAATAGAATAAAAAATATTTACCAAGAAAAATAATAAAAAGAGAGATTTAATTCACATAAAGCCAACAGAAAATAAATGTATTAATTACTATACTTTTAAACATAAAAATATCAAAATGATTTTTAAAAAATAGAAAAAAGGAAAGCAGTACTGAGCTAAGCAAGGTCATTTAATACTAGCCTTTTTCTTTCTTAAAGATAAACTCCAACTGTGTTTTGTAATTTGAATTAGACATGAAAGCAACCATAAATATCAGTGATGATCACAACTACGGATGGGATGAAAGGGTATGTGCCTTTATTTATTTATTTATTTATTTATTTATTTAATTTTGAGATGCACTTTCGCTCTTGTTACCTAGGCTGGAGTACAATGGCGTGATCTCGACTCATTGCTACCTCTGCCTCCTGGGTTCAAGCGATTCTCCTGTGTCAGCCTCCTGAGTAGTTGGGATTACAGGCGCCCACCACCACGCCCAGCTAATTTTTTGTATTTTAATATACAAGGGGTTTCACCATGTTGGCCAGGCTGGTCTTGAACTCCTGACCTCGGGTGATCCACCTGCCTCAGCCTCCCAAAGTTTTGGGATTATAGGCGTGAGCCTGCAATAATATAGAATATAATAGAAATTGACCTATCTACTTAAGATGGTGAAGGACAAATGGGCTCCTTACCTATCTTTGACTGAAAAAAGAAATTGAAACCTGTGGCTGGTGCCACATATGAGTGAATCACACTATAGAGAGGGCACAAGCTAAAAAATTGAAATATGGTTCTTAACCAATAAATCTTGGGAACCTCAGGATAAACAATCAAGTCTACAACTCAGGATGCAAACAAAACCTAATTCTCATGAAATTTAAACTCACAGATGAAAAATCAAATAGTATTCAAGATCTCAGAAACAACAAATGAGGGACACTAACTATTCTCACATTACCCTCCAATACTATACACTTTTTTATTTGTATTATTTTATACGAATTGATTGTTGCCATTGTACTAAAATAATTAAAGATGGCTTCGAGTAACCATTTCTAAAGATTCTTTTCAAATTAAAACAATAAAAACCCTATGGCTATTGTCGGGGGGGCGGGGGGCGAAGTCTTGTTGTCCTAGTATATTGAGAACATCCTTAGAATAATATAATTATTTTTCCTTGACAAAGATTGGCTTTTAGACCAATATCTGAGGGATGATGTCAGCAAAATTGCCAACGTAGACATCTTCAAGCTTATTGTCCCACAGAAATATTGTGTAAAAAAGAAGCAGAAAACATCAGAATCAATTTTGTGGGAACTCCGAAAAACAGTCAAAAGTTTTCAGCAACCAAGTAACAGTTGAATCAAGAAAAGTCACTTCAGAATCATAGGAATGTTTTGTAGCAACTTTATTTGCCCTCATCTCACTCACATTATGGCAGGGCAGCAGTTTAAAATGGTAGAGATCTTAAAGTGGCAGCAACTCATGTTATCAAAGCCGGGCAGTTTCCTTGATTCCAGAGGGAGCAAAACAGACCTCATTGACAAAGTATTGGCTATGTCTATTTTAACCTGTCTGGGGGCTACATGAAATACTTATGCAAAACTCATCAGTTTTGCCTAACTTGGAATTCTGGTGGAAAATCAGAGAGCATTGCTGGATAACACTGTAAGTCAAGCTAACAATCCTTACATACCTAGAGCAAAAGATTATACTCAAAATGTACGGTAAACTGGCTAAGGCAAAAGCTGGGTAGTTTTTTGTGGGAGAGAAAGTATGATTTGTCAAAAGCAACTATGTAAACTGGGGAACTTAGAAAAGCATCTGGATACTCAGGGTAAGAATCTAAGAAAAAACCTGAGAAGACCCTGAGCTCTCCCTAATCTCAGCACAAGCCTGGATAAGAGTTAAGAAACCGCCCCAGCACGAAGTCAGTTTTCAAAGACTAGGAAAGGTGTGTGTTTCTCTTGTTCTATCTTTTATTTATTTATTTTTTTCACTTTTTAATTCCCTGCATTCAAAAAAACCTCTGTCAAAACATTTAATAAACACAAACTAAGGAACAGAAACTTCAGTGACCACATTGACAAGGGATACAGTCTTCTCAATAATAGTTTGGCAAAGACCCTAAACAAATGGGCTACCACAACCTTCAATAAGTCCCCGACAAAAAAAGCTAGGGAAGAGGTTGAGTGTAATTTCTGGAACTACCACATTATAATGCACAAATGTCCAGTTTTCAACAACAACAAAAACATTGCATACAAAAACAGCAAAGTACGGTTCATTCAAAGGAACAAAATAAATTGACATATATCATGCAGAAGGTGCAGATATTGAAATTACTAGACAACTATCTTAAATATATTCAAAGTGCTAAAAGGAAACACAAATAACTAAGGGAAATCAGAAAAAAAATACATATGAACAAAATGAGAATTTTGACTATTAAGAGCAATTATGAAAAGTAATTAACAAGAAATTGTAGAGCTAAATAGTACAAAAACTAAAATAAAAATTTCACTGTAGGGGTTCAATAGCTGATTTTAGCAGGCAGAAGAATCAGTGAACCTGAAGATAGAGCAATTGAAGTTATCAAGCCCAAGGAGTAAAAAGGAAATATTAGGTTGGTACAAAAGTAATTGTGGTTTTGCCATTATTTTCATTATTTTTAATGGCAAAAACCACAATTAATTTTGCATCAATCTAATAGAATGAAAACAAGGGAACAGAGCCTAAGGGGCCTCTGGGACACAATCAAGCTATATATGACAAAACTGCCTTTCAAGAATGAGGGAGAAATTAAGCATCTCTCAAATAAACAAAAGCTGATGGAATTTATTATTACTATGCCTACACTAGAAGAAATGCCAAAGGGAGCCCTTCAGGTTGAAATAAAAGGACGCCAGACAGTAACTCAAAGCCATATGTAGAAATAAAGATCTCTGATAGGAGTAAATATATTGGTGAATATAAAAGCAGGTATTATTGTAACAACACTTTCTATTTTCCAACAAGATATAAAATAAAGTGCAAAATAAATTATGAATTTACATTATTTGGCACACTATACATAAAGAAGCAATTCATGATGACAATGACAATATAAAGGAGGGATGATGAGGGTGAATAGAAGCAGAGTTTCTGTATGCTTTTAATGTTAAGTTGGCATCAGCTAACATTTAATTGTTTTAAATTTAGCATGTTAAATGTAACACTCATGATAACTACAAAAATAATCTAAAAACCACGCACAAAATGAAATGAGAAAATAATAAAAATGGTTCAGTACAAAAGTTAACTAAACACAACAAAGGTAGTAATGAAGAATATGAGGGACAAACACTATGTAAGACAAACAGAGAAATAATAGGAAAATGGCAAAAGTAAGTTTTTTCTAATTAATGATTACTCTGAATGTAAATGAATTAAACTCATAAAAGGGCAAAATTGACAGAATGAATAATACAGAAGAAAAACTATGATCCAACTATATGATGTCTATAAGAGACTAATACAAAGCACAAAGACATCTGTAGATTGAAAGTAAAAGAATGTAAAGGATATAGTATGCAAGAGAGCTGTGGTATCTATACTAATATCAGAAAAAAATGGAATTTACATTAACAACTGTTAAAAGGACAAATAAGAACATAATATATTGATAAATATGTAAAATCATCAAGAAGATTTAACAATTATAAGCATGCGTTTTAAATAACAGAGTCCCCGAATTATATGAAGGAAACATTGACAGTATTGAAAGGAAAAATAAACAATTCAGCTCCCAATAATTGATAGACCAGCTATATAGAAAATCACTGTGGAAATGAAGGACTTGAAAAATAATATAAGCAGCTAGACCTAACAGACATATATATAACAATCCACCCAGTAACAGCAAAATACACATTCTTTTCAAATACATGACATGGAATATTCTCCATGATATAGTACTATATATTAAGGCCACAAAACAGGTCTCAATGGTTGGATGCTAAAAACAAATTACATGGAAAACTAGAAAATTCAAAAATACTTGGCAATTAAACAACACACTGTTAAACAATGAATGGATCAAAGAAGAAATCACAGAGGAAAATATATAGCCATAAACAAAAACCCAAATACCAAAATATATGACATCCAGCAAAAGCACTGCTCAGAAGGAAATTTCTAGCTATAATTTTTTAAATTAAAAAGAAAGCTCCCAAATCAATAACCTCACTTTACCTCAAAGAACTAGAAAAAAATAACAAGAACAAATTAAGCCCAAAGCTAACAGAAAGAAGGAAATTGTTAAGGCTAGAGCAGAGATAAGTAAAATAGAGAATAGAAAAACAACAGAGAAAATGAGTAGATCCAAAAGTTGGTTCTTTGGAAAGATCAGCAAAGTTTGACAAATATTTAGCTAGATTCAAAGAAATAAAGAAAGAAAACACAAATAACTAAAATATAGAGGAGAAAGAAAACTAGAGATGGAAGTGGGGACATTAGTGTTAACCTTAGGTAAATAAAAAGATTATAAGATAATACTATGAACAGTTGTATGCTAGCAAATTGGGTAACCTGGATGAAATGGGCAAATTCCTAGAATACCTTAAATGACTCAAGACAAGGTAGAACATTTTAATAGACCCATAACAATAAACTGAATTAGTAATCAAAAACCTTCCCACAAAGTCCATGACAGGATGGCTTCACTAGCAAATTCTATCGGTTGTGTTATTAATTATGTATAAACATTTGTGACAATTCTCTACTACTCAGCTTTCTATAAAATAAGGATAAAACACTCATATCATAGGATTTCTATGAACGTGAAATCAGATAAAATAAGTCAATGCAGCTTTTGTAATAATATAATTATATTGGCAACTAACATTTGTATTTTCTTTCTCTTTATTTTTATTTTTATTTTTTTTTGAGACCTAGTCTTGCTCTGTCGCCCAGGCTGGAGTGCAGTGGCGCGATCTCGGCTCAAGGCAAGCTTCGCCTCCCGGGTTCATGCCATTCTGCTGCCTCAGCCTCCTGAGTAGCTGAGATTACAGGCATGCACCACCACACCAGGCTAATTTTTGTATTTTTCGTAGAGACAGGGTTTCACTGTGTTAACCAAGATGGTCTCGATCTCCTGACTTCATGATCCGACCGCCTAGGTTACAATTCATTAACACACCCCACTTAAACAAGAAGATAATTAGCATAATCACGAACACATCAGTTGCAGATGGGTAGAGAGAAGTGAAGTTCGGTGGCTTAACTCCCATCTCTACAGAAGAGGACTACAATTTTAGGTTATTGCAGGATAATTCTAAGCAAATTATAGGAGGAAGACCCAAGCAGAATGCAAAAAGTTTAGGGTTCTAATTGTTTTCATTACCCCATGCATTCCTTTTTTTTTTTTTTGAAAGTTTTTTTTTTTATTTATTTTTTATTTTTTTAATTTTTTATTATTATTTCTTTTATTTTTTTTTATTATTATACTTTAAGTTTTAGGGTACATGTGCACATTGTGCAGGTTAGTTACATATGTATACATGTGCCATGCTGGTGTGCTGCATCCACTAACTCCTCATCTAGCATTAGGTATATCTCCCAGTGCTATCCCTCCCCCCTCCCCCGACCCCACAACAGTCCCCAGAGTGTGATGTTCCACTTCCTGTGTCCATGTAATCTCATTGTTCAATTCCCACCTATGAGTGAGAATATGCGGTGTTTGGTTTTTTGTTCTTGCGATAGTTTACTGAGAATGATGATTTCCAATTTCATCCATGTCCCTACAAAGGACATGAACTCATCCTTTTTTATGGCTGCATAGTATTCCATGGTGTATATGTGCCACATTTTCTTAATCCAGTCTATCATTGTTGGACATTTGGGTTGGTTCCAAGTCTTTGCTATTGTGAATAATGCCGCAATAAACATGCGTGTGCATGTGTCTTTATAGCAGCATGATTTATAGTCCTTTGGGTATATACCCAGTAATGGGATGGCTGGGTCAAATGGTATTTCTAGTTCTAGATCCCTGAGGAATCGCCACACTGACTTCCACAATGGTTGAACTAGTTTACAGTCCCACCAACAGTGTAAAAGTGTTCCTATTTCTCCACATCCTCTCCAGCACCTGTTGTTTCCTGACTTTTTAATGATTGCCATTCTAACTGGTGTGAGATGGTATCTCATTGTGGTTTTGATTTGCATTTCTCTGATGGCCAGTGATGATGAACATTTTTTCATGTGTTTTTTGGCTGCATAAATGTCTTCTTTTGAGAAGTGTCTGTTCATGTCCTTCGCCCACTTTTTGATGGGGTTGTTTGTTTTTTTCTTGTAAATTTGTTGGAGTTCATTGTAGATTCTGGATATTAGCCCTTTGTCAGATGAGTAGGTTGCGAAAATTTTCTCCCATTTTGTAGGTTGCCTGTTCACTCTGATGGTAGTTTCTTTTGCTGTGCAGAAGCTCTTTAGTTTAATTAGATCCCATTTGTCAATTTTGGCTTTGGTTGCCATTGCTTTTGGTGTTTTAGACATGAAGTCCTTGCCTATGCCTATGTCCTGAATGGTAATGCCTAGGTTTTCTTCTAGGGTTTTTATGGTTTTAGGTCTAACGTTTAAGTCTTTAATCCATCTTGAATTGATTTTTGTATAAGGTGTAAGGAAGGGATCCAGTTTCAGCTTTCTACATATGGCTAGCCAGTTTTCCCAGCACCATTTATTAAATAGGGAATCCTTTCCCCATTGCTTGTTTTTCTCAGGTTTGTCAAAGATCAGATAGTTGTAGATATGCGGCATTATTTCTGAGGGCTCTGTTCTGTTCCATTGATCTATATCTCTGTTTTGGTACCAGTACCATGCTGTTTTGGTTACTGTAGCCTTGTAGTATAGTTTGAAGTCAGGTAGTGTGATGCCTCCAGCTTTGTTCTTTTGGCTTAGGATTGACTTGGTGATGCGGGCTCTTTTCTGGTTCCGTATGAACTTTAAAGTAGTTTTTTCCAATTCTGTGAAGAAAGTCATTGGTAGCTTGATGGGGATGGCATTGAATCTATAAATTACCTTGGGCAGTATGGCCATTTTCACGATATTGATTCTTCCTATCCATGAGCATGGAATGTTCTTCCATTTGTTTGTATCCTCTTTTATTTCCTTGAGCAGTGGATTGTAGTTCTCCTTGAAGAGGTCCTTCACATCCCTTGTAAGTTGGATTCCTAGGTATTTTATTTTCTTTGAAGCAATTGTGAATGGGAGTTCAGTCATGATTTGGCTCTCTGTTTGTCTGTTGTTGGTGTATAAGAATGCTTGTGATTTTTGCACATTGATTTTGTATCCTGAGACTTTGCTGAAGTTCTTATCAGCTTAAGGAGATTTTGGGCTGAGACAATGGGGTTTTCTAGATATACAATCATGTCGTCTGCAAACAGGGACAATTTGACTTCCTCTTTTCCTAATTGAATACCCTTTATTTCCTTCTCCTGCCTAATTGCCCTGGCCAGAACTTCCAACAATATGTTGAATAGGAGTGGTGAGAGAGGGCATCCCTGTCTTGTGCCAGTTTTCAAAGGGAATGCTTCCAGTTTTTGCCCATTCAGTACGGTATTGGCTGTGGGTTTGTCATAGATAGCTCTTATTATTTTGAAATACGTCCCATCAATACCTAATTTATTGAGAGTTTTTAGCATGAAGGGTTGTTGAATTTTGTTGAAGTCCTTTTCTGCATCTATTGAGATAATCATGTGGTTTTTGTCTTTGGCTCTGTTTATATGCTGGATTACATTTATTGATTTGCGTATATTGAACCAGCCTTGCATCCCAGGGATGAAGCCCACTTGATCATGGTGGATAAGGTTTTTGATGTGCTGCTGGATTCGTTTTGCCAGTATTTTATTGAGGATTTTTGCATCAATGTTCATCAAGGATATTGGTCTAAAATTCTCTTTTTTGGTTGTGTCTCTGCCTGGCTTTGGTATTAGAATGATGCTGGCCTCATAAAATGAGTTAGGGAGGATTCCCTCTTTTTCTATTGATTGGAATAGTTTCAGAAGGAATGGTACCAGCTCCTCCTTGTACATCTGGTAGAATTCGGCTGTGAATCCATCTGGTCCTGGACTCTTTTTGATTGGTAAGCTATTGATTATTGCCATAATTTCAGATCCTGTTATTGGTCTATTCAGAGATTCAACTTCTTCCTGGTTTAGTCTTGGGAGAGTGTATGTGTCAAGGAATTTATCCATTTCTTCTAGATTTTCTAGTTTATTTGCGTAGAGGTGTTTGTAGTATTCTCTGATGGTAGTTTGTATTTCTGTGGGATCAGTGGTCATATCCCCTTTATCATTTTTTATTGCGTCTATTTGATTCTTCTCTCTTTTTTTTCTTTATTAGTCTTGCTAGCGGTCTATCTATTTTGTTGATCCTTTCAAAAAACCAGCTCCTGGATTCATTAATTTTTTGAAGGGTTTTTTGTGTCTCTATTTCCTTTAGTTCTGCTCTGATTTTAGTTATTTCTTGCCTTCTGCTAGCTTTTGAATGTGTTTGCTCTTGCTTTTCTAGTTCTTTTAATTGTGATGTTAGGGTGTCAATTTTGGATCTTTCCTGCTTCCTCTTATGGGCATTTAGTGCTATAAATTTCCCTCTACACACTGCTTTGAATGCGTCCCAGAGATTCTGGTATGTTGTGTCTTTGTTCTCATTGGTTTCAAAGAACATCTTTATTTCTGCCTTCATTTCGTTATGTACCCAGTAGTCATTCAGGAGCAGGTTGTTCAGTTTCCATGTAGTTGAGCGGTTTTGAGTGAGATTCTTAATCCTGAGTTCTAGTTTGATTGCCCTGTGGTCTGAGAGATAGTTTGTTATAATTTGTGTTCTTTTACATTTGCTGAGGAGAGCTTTACTTCCAAGTATGTGGTCAATTTTGGAATAGGTGTGGTGTGGTGCTGAAAAAAATGTATATTCTGTTGATTTGAGGTGGAGAGTTCTGTAGATGTCTATTAGGTCCGCTTGGTGCAGAGCTGAGTTCAATTCCTGGGTATCCTTATTGACTTTCTGTCTCGTTGATCTGTCTAATGTTGACAGTGGGGTGTTAAAGTCTCCCATTATTAATATGTGGGAGTCTAAGTCTCTTTGTAGGTCACTCAGGACTTCCTTTATGAATCTGGGTGCTCCTGTATTGGGTGCATATATATTTAGGATAGTTAGCTCTTCTTGTTGAATTGATCCCTTTACCATTATGTAATGGCCTTCTTTGTCTCTTTTGATCTTTGTTGGTTTAAAGTCTGTTTTATCAGAGACTAGGATTGCAACCCCTGCCTTTTTTTTGTTTTCCATTTGCTTGGTAGATCTTCCTCCATCCTTTTATTTTGAGCCTATGTGTGTCTCTGCACGTGAGATGGGTTTCCTGAATACAGCACATTGATGGGTGTTGACTCTTTATCCAATTTGCCAGGCTGTGTCTTTTAATTGGAGCATTTAGTCCATTTACATTTAAAGTTATTATTGTTATGTGTGAATTTGATCCTGTCATTATGATGTTAGCTGGTTATTTTGCTCGTTAGTTGATGCATTTACTTCCTAGTCTCGATGGTCTTTACATTTTGGCATGATTTTGCAGCGGCTGGTACTGGTTGTTCCTTTCCATGTTTAGCACTTCCTTCAGGAGCTCTTTTAGGGCAGGCCTGGTGGTGACAAAATGTCTCAGCATTTGCTTGTGTGTAAAGTATTTTATTTCTCCTTCACTTATGAAGCTTAGTTTGGCTGGATATGAAATTCTGCATTGAAAATTCTTTTCTTTAAGAATGTTGAATATTGGCCCCCACTCTCTTCTGGCTTGTAGGGTTTCTGCCAACAGATCCGCTGTTAGTCTGATGGGCTTCCCTTTGAGAGTAACCCGACCTTTCTCTCTGGCTGCCCTTAACATTTTTTCCTTCATTTCAACTTTGGTGAATCTGACAATTATGTGTCTTGGAGTTGCTCTTCTGGAGGAGTATCTTTGTGGCGTTCTCTGTATTTCCTGAATCTGAACGTTGGCCTGCCTTGCTAGATTGGGGAAGTTCTCCTGGATAATATCCTGCAGAGTGTTTTCCAATTTGGTTCCATTCTCCCCATCACTTTCAGGTACACCAATCAGACGTAGATTTGGTCTTTTCACATAGTCCCATATTTCTTGGAGGCTTTGCTCATTTCTTTTTATTCTTTTTTCTCTAAACTTCCCTTCTCGCTTCATTTCATTCATTTAATCTTCCATTGCTGATACCCTTTTTTCCAGTTGATTGCATTGGCTCCTGAGGCTTCTGCATTCTTCATGTAGTTCTCGAGCCTTGGCATTCGGCTTCATCAGCTCCTTTAAGCACTTATCTGTATTGGTTATTCTAGTTACACATTCTTCTAAATTTTTTTCAAAGTTTTCAACTTCTTTGCCTTTGGTTTGAATGTCTTCCCGTAGCTCAGAGTAATTTGATCGTCTGAAGCCTTCTTCTCTCAGCTCGTCAAAGTCATTCTCCGTCCAGCTTTGTTCCGTTGCTGGTGAGGAACTGCGTTCCTTTGGAGGAGGAGAGGCACTCTGCTTTTTAGAGTTTCCAGTTTTTCTGTTCTGTTTTTTCCCCATCTTTGTGGTTTTATCTACTTTTGGTCTTTGATGATGGTGATGTACAGATGGGTTTTTGGTGTGGATGTCCTTTCTGTTTGTTAAGTTTTCCTTCTAACAGACAGGACCCTCAGCTGCAGGTCTGTTGGAGTACCCTGCTGTGTGAGATGTCTGTGTGCCCCTGCTGGGGGGTGCCTCCCAGTTAGGCTGCTCGGTGGTCAGGGGTCAGGGACCCACTTCAGGAGGCAGTCTGCCCGTTCTCAGATCTCCAGCTGCATGCTGGGAGAACCACTGCTCTCTTCAAAGCTGTCAGACAGGGACATTTAAGTCTGCAGAGGTTACTGCTGTCTTTTTGTTTGTCTGTGCCCTGCCCCCAGAGGTGGAGCCTACAGAGGCAGTCCAGCCTCCTTGAGCTGTGGTGGGCTTCACCCAGTTGGAGCTTCCTGGCTGCTTTGTTTACCTAAGCACGCCTGGGCAATGGTGGGCGCCCCTCCCCCAGCCTCGCTGCCGCCTTGCAGTTTGATCTCAGACTGCTGTGCTAGCAATCAGCGAGACTCCGTGGGGTAGGACCCTCCAAGCCAGGTGTCGGATATAATCTCGTGGTGCGCTATTTTTTAAGCCCGTCGGAAAAGCGCAGTATTTGGGTGGGCGCGACCCGATTTTCCAGATGCAGTCTGTCACCCCTTTCTTTGACTAGGAAAGGGAACTCCCTGACCCCTTGCGCTTCCTGCGCCCACTGTCTGGCACTCCCTAGTGAGATGAACCCAGTACCTCAGATGGAAATGCAGAAATCACCCGTTTTCTGCGTCGCTCACGCTGGGAGCTGTAGACTGGAGCTGTTCCTATTCGGCCATCTTGGCTCCTCCGGCCCCCATGCATTCTTGAAGTAATTCTTAGTTCTTTTTCTTTTCACCTCGCTTCTATTTCCTTAACCTTGAAGTTTCACTTTTTAATCATCGCAAATGTATGTGGAGTCTCTAGCACAATGCCTAGCATATCAAAAGCATCTAATAAGTGTTATTTTCCTTCTCATTTTAATGCTGCCAAAATTAACTGTTTTCTTAAACTGCAAATCAAAGAAAACAATCCTTTAAATTTGTGCAATTAGACCATGCTTTGGGGTTGTATATGTCTATTTAATAGAACTGTTAATGTCTTGCCCATTTATTCTTTAAATCTCTGTCTAAACTATCACATCAGATGACAATTATTATTTGGTCTGAATCTATGTAGTCCTTCACTAATTTTGTATTTTTAAAACTGGGTCCTAACTTTAAGTTGAATAAGACAACTCTCAAGCTATATCTAAAGAGTTAAAGTAAATGAGGATAGATTCAGATAGAATGCTAGGTTTTTGCTCCCTGAACCAAGTGGGGAGTCAGACAGACTAGTCAAAAAATTAATTTTTTCTCTCATCACCTACAACAACTTGCTAAAGTGAAAATAAATAGAATAGTCATAGGTAAATTGGAGTATATATTTAAATCCAGTAGACAAACAACAAAGAGAGAGAGATAATTTAAGCTCAATCTTACTGGCTGTGAGAGCCAAAGGAAAACAGATTATACTTTATGATAGAAGCAGACGCATAAAATGTTTGAATTAAATATCTGTATGAAGCTTTAGGAAAACTTTCACCTGTCCACACACCTCACACTTTCTGAAGTGTTTTCCTGAGCTCACCACTCCTGGAAGCTGAAGTGTAATATACATATAATAAATCAAAGTTGACTGTCAAAGATAGAATCTAGCATGGAATTTTCAGGTAGAATATGAGTGATAGTGCAAATGTGGCAGTCTATCTTGGATGCATTCCAAATTAGAATAAGGCTATGATTATACTAAGTTATGCTGTGATACAACCATAGGTCTATGTGTAACGGCAAGTATTGATAATTTGAGATGGAGGTGTAGTAGCACTGTAGCATTGCTTTATTCTTTGTCAAAGTCTCCATGCTTATGGCAACAGAATGTATTTGGATTTATGATAGCTGACAGTGGGATTTAAGTTATGAATCTTGGATATTTTTAATAGAATTTGAATAATCCAAAAGAATAAAAACTTAGATAATTGTGATTAATTTTAACCTTAATAGGCTGCTTACCTAGGAGAACTGTGCCAACATCTGAGGAACCAATAATAAATGAAAACCTCTATTTCCTGAGTGGATATAATTTTTGTTGACACATATGTTTGTGAAAAAAAAAGTAGGTTCTGTTTTAAAAACATTAAAAACTTTCTGGGAAAAAATTGGCTCTGCAAAACATGTCATTTCACATAAAGTTTAAATAGGAAAACATTTGATTACATAAAATACTCAACGTGTCTGAGAGGAATATTGAAACCTTTGAGCTTTTTTAATAAAGATTGGTGTCATTGATCACATTGATCATCTAAAGTCCAATTCGATCATTATGATGGGCTCCCCAGGAATTCTATTTCCCTCAGAGCTCACTCTTTTCTAATTTTGAAAAATGCTGAGGCTTCTAGAAAAAAATCTCTTTAAGACCAGAAAATAACAAGTTTTTTTCCAGACACACAGCACAAAAACAAAAACTAGTTATATATATATACTTATTTATTTATAGTTATAGAATGTTATATAAATAAAGAAAATATCAATGACAACAGGAAAAATCAAAATATTAATGGACTAAGATGATATAATCCCAAATATTTGTTAGTTAATAAAGTATATTGAAATAAAAATTACATGTTATCTTGTAGCAAACAACAATAAATACTTCATATGTAAAAACTATAAAATGTGAACAGAGCAATAGTCAGAAGAAAATTTATACGTTGAAAGTCAATAATGTAAAAGCAAGCAAGAAAACGTAAGCTTTTATATAGAGTGTGGAAAAACAGATAAATAAACCAAAAAAAACCCCACTAATAAACCAAAAGGAGCTATAGAAAAAGAAAAATGAAAAGTAATGGGAAAAATACATTAATACCATAGTTAGACAATTAAAAGGATAAACCAAAAGGAGCTATAGAAAAAGAAAAATGAAAAGTAATGGGAAAAATACATTAATACCATAGTTAGACAATTAAAAGGCAAACAAAACTGTAGCAATCGTTTTTATAAAAACACACAAAACAGAAATTAGCAACATTTAGAAAGAATGATATAACTATAGATATAAAAGCATGTAAAAATTATTAAAACAGTTGGTGCTTCTTTACACAAATTAATTTTAAAATCTAATAAGGAATAAACCAATTTTCCAGGTCAATTCAATTGACAAAAAATAATTGAAGAGAAATAGAAAACTTGAAAAATGAACAGTCACAAGACAGAATGCAATTATTAAGTGCTTAACACAAATAGGCACTGAGCCTAGATAGATTACAAGTCCAGCTTTTAATCACCCTTCAATGAACAAACACTTAGATTTTATATACAAACTTCCAAAGCACAGAAAAAAAAAACTGTAAGATTACAGAGAATGAATTGAACATAACCCCTGTAACTAGAACCAATAAAGGACATCACAACAAAACAATGCC